>NC_000010.11:106052186-106355216 GCF_000001405.40 Homo sapiens
CATATCCTTTGGATATATGCCCAGTAGTGGGATTGCTGGATCGCATGGTAATCTATTTCTAATTTTTTGAGGAACATTCATACTATTTTCCATAGTGGTTGCACCTTTTACAATCCCACTAACAGTGCATAAGGGTTCTAATTTCTCACATCCTCATCAACACTTGTTTTTTTTCATTTTAGTTAGTAGCCATCCTAACAGGTATGAGGTGATATCTCATTGTACTGAATTTACTCACCAAGATTCTGTATCTTCTGTAACTTATGTGTAGTCTGCATTAGTCTGGATTCTGTATTCTGCATTAGCCTGGATTAAATGGGAAGGCATATGGAAGCATATGAAAACTAAAAACAGAAATATCATCCTTATGATAGATAATGCTGTTTGTGAAATTTGGCTTAGGTCTGAGGGACAAATTGGCTTTCAAAAGCTTCTTCTCCTGTGCTTGATCCCCAACAGGTGGGGAACAGGCCACACCTCTTCCCCTATCTATCTTTGGGGCAACCCACCTCAGGAAAAATGTGAGTTCTTCAGAGCACTTCTCAAATCAGTATCCTTCAATGGCCCAGGTAAGAGGTGGAAGAAAAGAGACCAAATCTTCACGGTCTTATAAGAAATTCTCACTTCCCAACTGAGAAAAGTGTACCAGTATTAACCCACAATAGGTAGCCATGTGTGGAGAAGTGAGGTGGGAGTGAAATTCTAGGCCATGTGTGTTGCCTTTGGGGTATTCCTGCACATGGAAACATTAGTTCAGAGCATAAAAACACTCTCCCAACACTGGCTGAGAATTTTTCCTTTCACTGATTTTGCCTTTGAAGAATTTCAATGGAACATATGTGACTGTCAATGTTGAAATACAATAAAAGCCACTTGGTATCACTTAGGTGACTGTAGCACTGATTCCTATGCCATTTTGATTAGTAATGCATATTGATCTCCAGGACCAGGCTGAACACGGATCGAATGACATATGCACAATAGCACAGGACTGCGCTCATTTAGCAACAAATCGCCTTTGGAAAGTCCCTTTATGTTTATTCTCCTCATTTTGGTTCCATTTGATGCTTCCCTTTGTTGGCTGTCTTTTGATCACTGTAGGCAACAAAGCCCCAAGGGAGAGTCCTAAAGAGCTTTGTAAGGAGAGGATAGTTTTCTGAATACGGAAATTGGAGTGATACATCAGAAATTGTGGGTCCTCTGGATCAACCTGCTAGTAAATGGAGGCATTCCATTTGTCATCAGTGTGCGTTTAGTGCAGATACAGCATTCAAGGGGAAACAGAATCATTTGGCAGACCTCATGTATTTGTTTACTGATTTTATGTCTTCATTTTCTCTCTCTACTATCCCTTCTGGGGAAATCTGCTTATGAGCTTTCTTCTTCCAAGAACTAGAGTTAGATTCAGTGTACAAACTTGCAGGTACTGAAATCTTTTTCACTTACTTACATTTGAACAATTATATAAAATAATTAATGCTAAGGTATTGCTGCTCTAATGCAACTGGACAGGACCAATTAATTATTTTTCTCCCTAAAGTCAAAGATGTTATTGTTCAATAGAGAAATTTGATATTCAAAATTCTATTCCAATCCTGATGAAATTTCTCTCTTCTTCCCAAGCCTCAAATCTAGAAATTTCATGGTTTACTTCTGAATTTTAAGAAGACCAGAGGCCATATTGAGAAACTTTTCAGGCTGAAGGAGGAAAGCATCTAATTTTAGCCTCATGCTTGGCTGCCAAGGTGTTACTTTTAACATCTCCTGACATCTCATTAAAAGTCATTCCTTGGCATGGGCTTCAGTGCCCTTTATAACTAGGTTTTTTCCTTCCTTTTCGTACTCAATTTTTTCTATTCATTCAGTGGACAGACTTGCCACTCCCCAAACACAGCGGGTTACTTCACTTCCCAGTGTCTTTATGCATGTACTACTTTATCTCAGGAAAATCTGCATCTTCTTCGCTTTACCTGCCTCATGTCCACTTGGCAAACTCCTACATAATCTTAAATAACCTCAAACTCCTACATAATGTTAAATAACATAGCTCAGTGTTAATTTTCTTCTGCAATACACCCATTTTCCCTTATCTTCAGACACACTTGATTTATTCTATAGTTGGAGTTTCTGGGATTTATCATTTATTTTGATTATAATTTTTCTTATAGGAATTTTCACATGTCTAATTCTTTCATTAGACTGTGGGCTCTGCAAGGACAGAAACAATGTCGTAATCTCTTATCCTCAGAGCAAAGAAAAGCTACTGATGTACAAAATTTATTCAATATAGGTTTGTTGAATTAAATAGAACACAAAAGCAATAATGTCATATAAAAAGGATGCATGGACAGATGAATAATCACTGCTGAGATGCATAAATTTTTAAATCATAAGAGGGTCAGTCACTTCACAGAGGCTACTTGGCAAAGTACTATATCAATCAGGGTCCCATTTTCAATTGCATGGTGACAGGTTTACTTTCTGGCTATAAGGATATGAAATATGTTATATGTATAATTTATCGTGTTTCATAAAAAAAAAAAACTGAAGCCCAAATTCCCTGACAACAAGAGATACATTCACAGAGCATAAAATTGGCTAATATGAAAGATGCTTACAATGAAATATTTTAGTACAGATAATGTTATTGAGAAGTTCTTGTTTTTTTGAGAAATGCTAAAGCTAACATAAATACACTTTTAGATTTGCCCAAACTTTTAGAGGAGACACTGTGTGTTGCAATGAGGACTGGATAAAGAGCAACTGTACTGTACATCATGAAAATAAAATCCAAGTTTCCCTATGGCACACTCAAAATATCAAAGTTCCCATTGTCCAGAAGGGACAATTAGTAAATTTTTTTTCTCAAAGAGAAATAATAAGGAAACTGCATATATAAGTGTATCCATCTCTTACATGTTCCTCCCTTCCCTGAACCTCCAAGTCACCCACAGTCTCTCCTGTGAGTACAGTTTTGAGAGTTCTTGGTGGGCACTTGATTATGCAAGAGTTTTTCTCTTCCCCTCTGGCTACACTGCCTGGAATTTAGCTCCGTTTTGCTAGTTTATATATCAAGGTTTAAAAAATATTCAGCCACACATAAACACAATGATAATGTAAATTGTCAACTAATAACAACTCACACTCTTTCTCTACAATACTGTTGTTCAAATATATTAGTCAGGGTAAATTATTTTTAGTTTTTAAGAGTTCCTCTTCATCCCACTATTCTTCTAAAGATGGTATCTGGATGTTTGAGGGCAGGATGTATGGAGCTGCTTTACTTTAGAAACCAAATGAAGAGACCCATAAGCTCTCCTCTTCCTAGGTGTTGCTAGTCTAACCTGAGTTGTAGATGGATTTGCAAAGGGACAATTGGCCCTAACTATTTCTTTGGTGCATTGAACTAGAACCCATTGCTGAAGTTCATTGTCATGATCATGTCGACTCTCTCTGGGAAGATCCATGTTTATCTCAGACCTCTGTTGGTTCACCTGTGTTCTTAGTACTTCCCCAAACCTTCTCTTGGGCACCAAGTCATTTCTGGAAGCTTTATACACACATGGAGGCCACAGAAGACCAAGAGCTTGAATTCAGGGCTGTTGGCATAGAGCACTGTGCCTGTATACCCAAACACCACTCAAATCAGTGTCCTCAATAGAGATGCCCTCTGATTAGTCTATCAGGAAAATATTTAACATTTATGTAGATTAGTTACACAAATGCAGGTATATTCAACATTCCTCATTGGTAGATTTAAAAACTCATCATATCTCACCAGATATTCTCTTTCCATTCTGCTACCCCACTCAACAAACACTTTTAATGTTTCATGTTTTAAGAAGAAAGAGCTGTAACACAGAAGGACAAGGAAGAGCTGGAGAAATCTGATACCTCTATAGTGGAGTGTGATGATCTATCTTCAGAGGCATCATTTTAAAAGTTTGCCTGATGCAGGCGGAGCAGTGAGATTGGGAACAGGAGATGATTTTAATTGTCTACCATCATGCTGACATTCAGTTTCAATAGGGCAACTAATTAGCAAACTCTATTTGCAGAGGTGGAAAAGAACTACCATTAGTGACAGGAAAAACCCTAGTCTATTAAACACTTTCTGTGCACCAGTTCAAATCATCTAAAATTCCCCTCTTATTCCAGACATTATTTCTGCAACCAGTTTTATGCAGGATTTAATCAGATTTCTGCAGGTTAAAGACTACAGACTTCCAGAGTGTCTCACCTGGTGCCACTTCTGTGTGCCTCTTGTTTTCACCAATGGTTTCTTTGACACTGCACCGTGGGACTCTTATGAGAACTCTTCCAGTACTCAGATATATGTCACTCAAAAGCGTAAGAAAAATGGTAATTGTTGAGCCAATCTTTGACCAATGTAAACCAATGGATGAATGTTTCTCTCTCTTGTTCCCTGAGTGGAAAGTTCCAAAACGTATTTTATAAACCTGTTCAGAATGTTTTGTAAGAAGAAGCGACAGTTGCCCATAGTAGTAACAAATGGAGTAACACATTTTTATCTTGGCTTTCCATCTTTCCAGTGTAACTTCTGTCTCTTGCTCCTGCTACCCAGTATCAATCCCTCCTCCTCCAAGGAGAAAACATACTTGCCTGTAAATCTCTGGCTCAGGCTTGGCTTTGGGGGAATCTGGAGGTAAAACACCTATGTAAGAGTTGACATGAAATAACTTTTTATTCTTTTAACTTTTTTATTCTTTGTTTTTACATCTTGTGAGATGCTTCCCTTGAACCTGCTATTAACCTGTTCAGGGAGATTTTCTTTCTCCTCCCTCCCTCCCTTCCAGCCTTCCTTCCTTACTTCCTCTCTTTCCTCCCTTTCTCTCTTTTCTTTCCTTCTCTCTTTTCTTTTCTTTCTTTCTTTCTTTCTTTCCTTCTTTCTTTCTTTCTTTCTTTCTTTCTTTCTTTCTTTCTTTCTTTTCTTTCCCTTCCTTCCTTCCCTCCCTCCCTTCCTCCTTCCTTCCTTCCTTTTTCCTTTCCTTTCCTTTTCCTTTCCCTTTCCCCTTCTTTATTTCTTTTCTTTTCTAGCTTTTTCCTCTCTCTCTTTCTTCCCCTGAAAATTAGACCTCCCACAAAAGTTTTACATAGGAGTGCACTTATTAAAGATGTTAGTCACTGAGATAACATTGACAACTATCCCCTTTCTTCCCCAGAACTGGAACTTACTCAGGTTGCCATAGGGGTCTGAGATACTCTTGTACTGAGATTAGAATCTGCCGCAGAATGGGTTATGGAAATCTATTCAGATGAGAAATTATTATCCTCATCATGGTGTTTCCAGTTATGGAGCCATCAAAATTGCTTTTATTTGGATGATTTTTGAAATAGTTTAATAGTTATATTCTATATCTTAGGATTCTTATATTTGAAATAAATATGCAGTCACCTATATCCTTATTCTTGGTGAGGCTGTATTTAATGTATTTTAGATATTTAAGGTGAAATTGAGAGATCTCCTAAAGTGATGACTTCAAACTTTCTTGTTAAATTGAGCATAAGATAAATTACATTGATTTAATGAAAATGTTTTTATAGAAAGACATGAATATTGAGCTTGGTGCTAATATAGCAGCAATTGTGTTTTCATTGTCACTGTCATCTGCATTTTAAAAAAATTACCTGAAGGGTGAGGAAGAGGCAAGTACTCCACCATCCACAACCAGGGGGCACCCAGTGTCCTTTCTTTAGGGGGCTGAGATAAGGCATACTGTTTAAATACTGAGCTCCCCCTAACCTTAAAAAAATATGTTATTTGCTAATGTTTTGGGTTCTGGTTCAAATAGGCCAATTTTAACATAATAGATGAGAATGGAGCTTTTGTGTCAAGGCATAAAATTGTGTAATTGGGAATATTAAGGTGGGTTGAAGAACAAAGTTTTCAGGGAATGACTTTTTAGTTAGGAGTTGGGGATTGAAGAGAGTGAGCTAGGATGACTGGGACCCTGCAAAGGTTCGATTAGATAATCCAGAATAGAACCACTGTGGGGGCTGGATTTTGGTGCAGGCTGGAAGGAACACCACTTTTAAATGAACAAGGCCCAGTAACGTGAAATGGAGATGGAGGATCTCCATTCTTATTGATAACATTATATGAAATTGATGTTTAATATAAATACTGAAATTAATGTGACAGAACTGATGCTGTTTTCCCAACAATCTACTTCATGTCAAGAACTGTGCTAGGCACTGTAAACATAGCATCGCTGATGCTCTTAACAATGCTGTCTTACTTTATAAATGAGAACATTCAGGCCTAAGAAAGCCTTCTGACCCCCAGCTAGTAAGTACTACTGCTATTAACTGAAAGCAAATTCCTTTTGAGTTAAAGTCCATACTTTTTATACTATGTCACAGTAGATTTCCTATTCATATGGACGGCATAGAACAGGGATCTTAAATAATGGACTATTAAAGAAAGATATTAAGAAGAGCATAAAAAAGGTATGTATCAGTCAAGAACATTGGGATATATTGCTGGAGAACATTTTATTGAGAATTATTACTAGGCTCAGGCATCTTAAGAAACTCTGAATAGAACAAAATAGTACCAGAATAGATAGCATTATCAATGAGAAAAAAAAACATAAAATCATATGTGGTTATTATCAATGGCTACTTATTGCATCTTCAATTAAGGTGGCCTTATTAGGCTAAAAGGTAGTGTAATTTGGTATTATAAAATGTATAAGCATCTTAGAGCTGTCGGTTTCTTACCATGACGGAGGAACTGATACCAGACTAGCCCTGCCACTGTAAACAAAAATAAATTGGATGATATATATGAGGCTTACTCTAATGACTCCTTTTCAATATTTAACTGGAAACCTCAGCCATTTTAGTAGGGTAAGAAAAAAATAGTAAATGGCATAATGAGTAGAAAGTAAGAACTTGTAAAAGTCTGTAGGTATAGATAATATGAATTTATGCATAGAAAATTTTAGAAAATATAAAAACCTATGAGAACCAATAAATGATTTAGCCAAGTTGCAGGATATAAAATCATTATAAAAATTAATTGTATTTTTATATATTAACAGTAAATGATTAGCACATAATTCTTAAAATATTAAAAGTTAAAAAGTGAAATCAATAAAACAAACTATTTAGGTATAAATTTAATCAAAGATGGGCAAACTACAAAAGAATAATGATAAAAGTTAAAGGAAACTAAATAAATGAAGTGATACATAAGTTCATGGACAGAAAAACAATGGGGTTATGATTTTCATTCTCTCTAAATTAATCTATAATTTCAACACAGTCCCATACGTAATTAGAGCAGATTTTTTTAAGAAATTGACAAGTTGTTCCTAATATTCATATGAAAATTCAAAGGACCTTGAGTAGCCAAAATAATTTAGAAAATAAAGGACAAATTTGGAGGAGGTACACTACTGATTATATGTCTTACTGCAAAGCTACAATAATAAACATAAAGTAGTACTGAAATAAGGAATCTAGAAATAGGCCTACACATATATGGTCAAGGTAATTGAATAGGGAAATATACCATTTTCATAAATAGTCCTGGACTACTGACTATCCACACCAGAAGAAAGAGGCAAACCCTCCACTTCTAATTCATAGCATATGCAAAAATATTTGAAGTGCATCATAAACTTCAATATAAAATATAAAACATATAGGAGAACATAAAAGAACATCTCTGTAATCAAACTGAAATGATGTTTAAATGTAGAAAATGTTCTTTTTGTTTTTTTCTAGTAAATAGAAGTAGTAAAAAGTTTTAGATAATATAATTTGCTTCTAAGTAAAATTTCAAAAACGTACTTTCCTTCTCTAAGATAATTCAGTTGCTACAAGACAAAGAGGAAGAGAAGTGGTTTTGCATTACAATGCCCATAATTTTCTGGTGTAAATGCAATATATTTTACTCTCATTCTGACTTCACCTCTATCTAACTGTGACTTTGGATAAATTACTTAAACCCTCTCAGATTCAGCTTCCCAATTCTAAACATGGATACAGTATTATCTAACTCTTTATGAGTTTGGATAAGATAACATATGTAAAACCTGTAGAATAGTGCCTGGACATGTTGACATATGGTATATACTCAGTGCTGCTGCTATAGTTTTACTGACGATTATGCTAATATTAGTTATCATTCCATTATTTCATTACATGAAAGGCTATATTATATTGTGATTAACAGCACATTCTCTAAAGCCAGAATATCTGTGTTCAAATCCCAGGTTTGCCAGTTATTAGCTATGTGACTTTAGACAAGCCACTTTGTCTGTTTATGTCTCAGTTTCTTCATGGGTTAAATGGGAATAATGATCATGAGGTATGAAAGCTTTTAAGAGCTCAAAATAAGTTCACATTTAAAAAGTATATAAGAAAAACTTTCTGACATTGTAAGTGCTATAAGGTTTGCCACTATTATTCTCATTCTCGTAACATCACTGTCTTCTCTGTAACTGAAGATTAATTCTGAAAGAGGGAGACATTCCACTGCCACCAACGGCATGTCCCTTCCCCATATGTGTGCTGTTTTGGAGGGGATTATGTAAATTGATATATTTTTCTGGAATAGGTTAAGAATTTGACACTCTGAACTCTTGCCCTAGAGCTAACTTTAACTGCTTTAATCATCTTTAATCAATAACATACAACCAAAGGAAATTTTCATAAGTCATTAAGGTAAGCCATTTGTTGACACTTGTTGACTCAGGGAATCAGTGACATTATATTCACCAGCTTGTTCACCTTTTCCTGTTGAACATTTTCTTAGGGTGGGTTCCCTGGAAATAGACCCTGGGTATGAATTCCATGTAAGTGAAATGTTAAGAAACAGTTCCCAGCCTGGCAACAGAGTGAGACTCCGTCAAAAACAAACAAACAAAACAAAACAAAAAAGAAACAGTTCCCAGGAGAAAAGAGTAAGAGAGAAAGAAGTAGAATAGGAAAAATGAAGAAGCCAAGCAAATGTATGATTTCAGGCAATAGTCCACTTTAGAATTTGTCCCTGCCTTAAGCAAGGTATCTGGGGTCTCATGACTCTGGTAGTTCTTATACCAGAATGTAAGCCAAATAAGCACAGAGAATATATCGGTCTCATTCATCTCTGCACTCCCTGTGAATGACATACTGCCTGCCTAATGAATGTTTTTTAAATAGCTTCAAAAAAAGAAATTTGCTCTAAAATACTAAAACACTTATATTAATTGGATACGTAACGACTTGTAGAGTTTTCTGAATGAATCTCTCCATTTGGTAAGACAAAGCTTGAGGAGGCATTAAACATATCCATGGTCAGATATCTATATAGCCCCAGGAATCTTTAGCTGGCTTTGAACAAGTTCTCTCTTGGAATACACAAGTTTCTACCTATTCCACAGATTACTCTAAGGGAGTAAGGAAGGTTTAGAGAAAGGGAATATAACAACTAAACAAGAATTAAAAAAGAAGACAGGGCCAGGAGTGGTGGCTCACGCCTGTAATCCCAACATTTTGCAGGGCCAAGGCAGACAGATTACCTGAGGTCAGGAGTTCAAGACCAGCCTGACCAACATGGCGAAACCCCATCTACTAAATATACAAAAATTAGCTGGACACAGTAGCACATGCCTGTAGTCTCAGCTACTCAGGAGGCTGAGGCAGGAGAATCGCATGAACCTGGGAGGTGGGGGTTGCAGTGAGCCTAGCAGGCCACTGCACTCCTCCAGCCTGGGCAACAGAGCAAGACTCCATCTCAAAAATAAAAGACAAATGAAATGGGGAAACTAAAAGGAGAAAAACAAAAGGCAAAAAAAAATCACATCTCTATAATCTTCAACATCAAAATAATAATTCACATTTATTGAGTGCTTACCCTCTGCTACATGTTTTTATTTTTAAAAATTTGACAGATAACATTGTATGTATTTACATATTTTAATGAAAATTTACATACAATGTAGAACATAATCATGTACAACTTAATGTTTCCAGTGTATATATACATTGTGGAATAGTTAACGCTACTAAATTAAGAAATGCATTACCTCACACAGCTATCATTTGTGTGGTGAGAACACTCAACATTCACTTTCTTTGCTGTCTCTTAAACTTATTCCTCCTATCTAACTGTAATTGTGTATCTTTTGACCAACTTCTACCCATCTCTCCCCACTCCCTGCCCCAGCCTCTGATAGGCACTCTTGTATTCTCTCTTTCTGCAAGATCAACTTGTTTTAGATTCCACATATGAGTGAAATAATATAGAACCAAAGGAAATTAAGATCATGTGTTTTCTTTCTGGGCCTTGCTTATTTCACTTAACATAATGTCTTCCAGGTTCATCTATGTTGTTGCAAATGGTAGAATTTCCTTCTTTGTTTGGCTGAATACTATCCCATTGTGTGTGTATATATTTGTATAACATTTTCTTCATCCATTGAATCATTTAGGTTGATTCCATATCTTGGCTATTGTGAATAATGCTGCAACAAACATGGGAGTGCAGATATCTCTTCAACATACTGATTTCATTTTCTTTGGATGTATATACCTGTTAATGGAAATGTTGAACTATATGATAGTTCTATTTTTAATTTTTTGAGGAACCACCATATTGTTTTCCATAATGGCTGCACTAATTTACGTGTTTTTTAAATATTTTAATCAGAGATTATTTTGAATCCACTCCATGATGTTAATAAGTATGGACTATTATTATTTATATTATAAATATGTGAAAACTGAGAAAATTGCTCAAATCATATTGTTTCAAGCAATAGAGTTTGGCTTTGAACCCATGAGGTTTGATGGTAGATCTTAACAGAATTTAACATTGCACTTTGCTGTTTTTTTTTTTACTTTCTGTCTTGCAAAGAGCTTTCATGTACATTTTCTAATGCATTCAAATTTTACTCTTTACAGATAAGGCAAACAAAGCTAAATGAGGCAAGTTAATTAGCCCAAAGTCACAAACCTAGTAAATGATAAGCCTCAATATCAATCCAAGTATTTGTATGTCACAGCTCCCATTCTTTCTAGTTTATGGAAAGAAGTTAGAGAGAAAGAGAGGAAAAAAAGCCCCTTCTCCTCCCTGCGCTCAAATGTCAATGAACCTCACCATGTGTTACACAGAGGCAATGGTCCCTTCCCCAAGGAAATTAGCTCCAAAGCTCCAAAGCTTTTCCTCCATGCAGTGACCAGTATAAGGTGATATTCTTGGGGATTAAAAGACTTTCTGGCTTTTTCTTTTAGTACTTAGTATAGTGATTTTTTTTCGGGTTGAAATAAAAATGGTTGGCATGGATTCATAAACTCTGTTAAAAGTTATTTCTGCTTGCACTGCATCCTAGATATTGGTACAAGGATTTTTTTCAGAGGTATTGAAATAGCCTTTTGAGTATAATGCCTATTGTGTCTTAATCA
Source organism: Homo sapiens (assembly GCF_000001405.40). Lineage (NCBI taxonomy): Eukaryota > Metazoa > Chordata > Mammalia > Primates > Hominidae > Homo > Homo sapiens. The sequence continues at coordinate 106,063,605 of NC_000010.11, forward strand.
CAAGTCGCAGTTCATCCACAGTCCTATTTGCTAGGAAACTGTAAAGATGAAATTTTCACCACCGTATCATTCTCTATAAATGTAATCAAATCAAATGCACTGGGATTTCTGTCACTTTGGACAAGAAAGAACAGAAATCCCCTTAATTTTTCAGTTTCTTTATTTAGTCTTCTTTCTCTCTGAGATTTAGGTCATTTTGTGGGATTCGGAAAAAAATGTAATTGTTTCAAGTATAATGACAGCTATTAAATCCAATGAGCTACCTTGTTACTAGAGTGGAAGTTGCTTCTGCCTGTAGTATTTGGAGAAGCTTTAAATTTGTAAATCTATTTTGCAGCTTCTCCAAATATTACAGGCAGAAGCAACTTCCACTCTAGTAACAGATTTCTCATACAAACTAAGTTTAATATGAGATCTAAAGGAAATGAGGCTTCATAGTACACTTTTGTGTTATAGCATGACACACCAGCTAATGTACACACACAAATCCAATGGGTTCCCCTTTTTTATCTAGACAGAGGCCGTTGTCTTAGAAACCAAACCACGGTTTTGTTAGGTTTCAGTGGTTGCATTTTCCTGTACATTTAAGTCCATTTTCATAATGCTTTGAATCTATATAAGAAAACCTGATCAAGCTCTCAAATTTCAGTGCTAGTCTGTGTTCATAGGTACATTGAAGCTTCCATGAATACTCAATTTATTCCTGACAGGAGATTTATTCAGTGTCGTCAACTAAAACCAAAGACATTTTGCCAGCCTTACCCAATTGCATCAGTAATACTCCATGCACTGAACAAATCTATTTTCTGATTTTGTAGAAAGGCATATGTCACTTAGAGACAAAAATTCATAAAACGCTCAACTTTCTGAATCCAATTCAGTGTTTCCTTAAATTGCATTTGGGGCAGTCTCATGAGGAATGCATAAGTGTAAAAACAGCCTTTGGAAATAGGCAGGGATTTTAGGTGCCCTTTCTATCATTATGTTCTTTCTGTAATTATTTCCTTGGATTTTTTTTCCCATTTCTATTCCCTGAATAATGTCTCCCAATTTGGAATTCCGGAAGAATATGCGTGCATAGCTGGTGACTCTCAAAAGTGCAGTCTTTAAACAAGATCAAGTTATAGATTGTTAGAGTTTGATAGTGCCCTGGAGCCTACTTGATCCATCCGTGCCGTCTCTTAGATGGGGAAACAAAGTTCTGGAGAATTAGGGAGAGTCATCTAACCAACACTGCAAAGATAAAAGCAGAGCTGATATACAAATCAGAGTAGCACCCTAATAAATATAATGATGTTAAAGGTAATATTTGCCAGGGACTATGATAACCATGTTAAATGTAAAATCATTAAATGCTGTAGTCCGGCTTTGTTAGTACTATTGTTATTTCATTTTAAATATAACAATAACCATACGAGATAGACACTATAAATGTACCATGTGTACAGATGCAAAATAAAATTCTGGAACTTAGTTATGAGATGTGTCTGAAGCCACAAAAGTAGAGTGATGGGGCAGGCAGTGAAGCTCCAGCTGCATTCTTCCAAAGTCTGAGCCCTTCATCACTACACCTGCTTCCTCCTTCTCTGCTCTATTTTTTCTTTCCCTTCGTTTCCCCATTAAAGACCTCAAAAACATTTTCCAAAAACCGTTACTGAGCAATGGCAAAGTCAAGCCTGATTATTTTCCTCAGCTTTGTTCCCTCCCTCTTTGCTCCCTATCTGCATTGAATAACTCTTCAAAATGCAGGATGTTTTCTGAATGAACTCACAGTTGGTCAACATTATACTGTGCGGGATGGGAGTCTCCTGCCTTCCTCTAGGGCCCACCAAGTACCTTGTTGCCTTATAAGCTAGTCCAGACTTGGTCCAAAGACCCCTAGAAATCCTGTAAAGCTCATAATGTCACAACAAACTAAATTTAGGAATAAACCAGGACAAGGAGCTTGGTGGCATCACAGCAAACTCACCCTCATGCCTAGAGAATAAGCAATATTGAATAACTTCCTAGTTAATATGAGGATAGATTTTCTTGGCTGGAATTGAGCTTAACTTCTTTTATATCCTGTTTGCTTCCCTGTTTTGCCTAATTCACAGTACAGGAAAGCCTAGGGGCACTGAGATGCTGAAATAAATGTAACCTTTTTCTGTTGGTTCAATTTGTCAGAGTTAGACTGTATCTGGTTTGTGGTATTGGCAATGTGGAAGGTAGCATTACAGAGAAACCAGTATTTACTGAATTTACAAAATGAAGAATAAAAACTGAATTAGTTGAGTTTTTCATATCTTAATTTAAATAATGCATGTGAGGATAAAAAGGCATACCTATATTTATTCTTTGAAAAGATGAATATTTTAAAAATTTTAAATCATACAGGATGATGACTTTATCTTTCAAGGTTTTCTACTTCTGACTATATGAAAAGAAATACACATTTTTTTCCCTTTCAAATTACAGGGGATAAACTTCTCCCTGTCAGTGTGAATCATGCAAAAGCTCAGTGCTAGTCTCTTAGAAGTAATTAATCTTTGACATTCTCTTTTGAAAATTCACAATATTTCAGATTTATGATTCCACATGGATCTCTACAGTAGGTTACAGAAAAGAAAGCCTATTTTTTATGTTTGACACCAAAAATTCATCTGCCCAACAAATGTTGACTTCTATAATATTGTGAGGTTGCTGAGTGTGCTAATTCCTACTCCTATGAGACTTTTGATCTCATAAGCTGAATCAAATAGCTCACATTAGCTTCAGATAAAGTGTTGAAACTTGTACCAACCTCCCCAGATTCCCAAGGCCTGTCCATCATTAGTTTTAAAGCACCCATCACTTACAGTGAATTGGGTTCATTTAAAGGGTAAATGCATTTGTTATCATGCACATTTTACCCAGTGAAGTCAGAGGGGAGTTTTACTTCAAATATGTGTAAAGTCACTAAGTTTTCAACAATCATGATATGAACTATGAAAGAAATGAAATATGCAGGACCCATAGACAGGGTGTATTAATTTTGCCTCGCTTTTTATTGTTGTAAGTGTTTCCCTGGGGGATTTTAGTTTTCTCTATCTAATGTAGGAGATCAATCAGCTTCATCAAAAGTGGTGTAAAACTACTGTGCAAAACTTTATTTTTATGTCTCTTTAAATGAAGCTTGATCCAAATGCTAATGCTGAAGTCATTTTGATACGTACAAATCTATTATCAGCTAAGAGCCACCCATGTCCCTCACCCTTTATGTAGATGATCTAGATTGTAAGATAAGTGTGATTCTGTCACTATTGTCCTAGTCATGACTGAATCAACCCTTTAAGTATCTATAAGGGCTCTCGTAGCACATTTAAAGTAAACAGGAATGCCTCAGTAATATAAATTATGATTATGGTAAAAAAAAATGCTTAATATATAAAAGTTCTCTGTCTCTATCTGCTGAAAGAGAACTTAAAATGTAAAATAATAATTTAAGATGATTTTCTGGATAGGCAACAAATGCAAAAATAGATAAGTGGGATTACCTTAAACTAAAAAGCCTCTGCAGAACAAAGGAAACCATCAACAAAATGAAAAGATAACCTACAGAATAGGAGAAAATATTTGTATACAATACACCTGATAAGGGGTTAACAACTCAATAGCAAGAAATCAAATTAATCAATTAAAAATGAGCAAAGGCCTTGAATAGACATTTTTCAAAAGAAGACATACAAATGGCCAAAGGTATGTGAAAAAATATTCAACATCACTAATCATTAGGGAGATGCAAATCAAAACCACAATGAGGTATCATTTCACTCCTATTAGGATGGCTATTATAAAAAAGGCAAGAGATAAGTGTTGGGGAGGATGTGGAGAAATGACAACACTTAGACACTATTGGTAGGAATTTAAATGAATAAAGCTATTCTGAAAAACAGTATGAAAGTTTCACAAAAAATTAAAAATAGAACTGCCTACCATATGATCCAGCAATGCTGGGTGTATATCCAAAGGAAATGAAATCAGTATGTTGAAGAGATATCTGCACTCTTACGTTTATTGCAGTGCTATTCAGAATAGCCAAGATATGGATTCAACTAAAGAGTCCATCAATGGATGAATGGATAAAGAAAATGTAGTATATAATCATAGTGGAATAATATTTAACCATAAAAAGAATGAAATTCTGTTGTTTGCAACAACTTGAATAAATCTGCAGAATATTATGAAAAGCTAAATAAGCAAGGCACAGAAATACATATACTGCATGATCTCACTCATACGTGGAATCTTAAAAGTTGATGTCATAGAAATGGACAATACAGTGGTGGCTTACCAGAGACTGGGTGGTTAGCAGGGATGGGAGGTAGGGGTGATGTTGGTCAAAAATACATATTAATAGTTAGATAGGAGAAATAAGTTCAAGAGATCTGTGCTGACTGTAGTTAATGTTGACATATTGTATTCTTGTAAAATGCTAAGACGATGGATGTTAAGTGTCTCATAACAAAAATGGTAACCATGGGAGGTGATGCATTTGTTAATTAGCTAGGGTTAACCATTCCACAATGTATATATACTTATAAACATCATGTTGCATATGATGAATACATAATAATTTTATATGTCAACTTGAAAACTAAGTAAATATTAATAAGACAGTCTTCAAAGTAATAGAGAATTGGAGTACACAAAAAGATGAATCTATAAGGGAGAGAAAGAAGATAAATTACCTGACTGTGCTTTTCATATCTTTTCTCATGTAAGCCATCTAGGAGCAGCAAGCCTTTACTCTCCTCATTTTGTTGGAAGGCCCAGTGCCTCTCCTACCCTTTCCTCAGCCCCCTGTTCTGTCCATAATGTCATCACACCATGCTGCAATATGCACTTGTCTATCTTCCCAAACAGATTTCCTGAGAGACTAGAGTTTATTCAACTCTGGATCTCCAGAGTGTAGAATAATATTTAGCATGGAGTATAAACTTGGTAAATATTGGGAAGAAGGGCAGAAAAAGGAAGATAAAATAAAGGATATAGGAAAGAAAAATAAAGAAGAAAAGAGAGAGGAAGGTCATGGATCATTTATTTAAAAAACAAATTCTAGTTTTTCAGAAGAAAATTAAAAACACCAAAGTACATTGTTATAGTAAACTGATTTGAGAAGGATTATTTAATACCTAAAGACACATTTTCATGATCACAGAATAAAAGATTCAGGCTGACTCGACTTTCTTTTTAAAAAATTTAAGTTCTGGGATATATGTGCAGGATGTGCAGGTTTGTTACATAGGTAATTGGGTTCCATGGTGGTTTGCTGCACCTATCAACTCATCACCTAGGTATTAAGCCCTGCATGTATTGGCTATTTGCCTGATGCTCTCTGTTCACACACCACTCACCCCCTGCATGGCAGGCACCAGTGTGTGTTGTTCCCCTCCCTGTGTCCATGTGTTCCCATTGTTCAGCTCCCACTTATAAGTGAGATCATGTGGTGTTTGGTTTTCTGTTTCTGTGTTAATTTGCTGAGGATAATGGCTTCCAGCTTCATCCGTGTCCCTGCAAAGAACATGATCTCATTCCTTTTTATGGCTGCATAGTATTCCATGTTGCATATGAGCTACATTTTCTTTATCCAGTCTATTACTGATGGGCATTTGGGTTGATTCCATGTCTTTTCTGTTGTGAATAGTGCTGCAGTGAACATACATGTGCATGTATCTTTATAACAGAATGATTATATCCCTTGGGTGTACACCCAGTAATGGGATTGCTCAGTCAAATGGTATTTCTTGTTCTAGGTCTTTGAGGAATAGCAACACTATCTTCCACAATGGTTGAACTAATTTACTTTCCTATCAACAGTGTAAAAGCATTTCTATTTCTCCACAGCCTCGGCAGCATCTGTTGTTTCTTGACTTTTTAATAATCATCATTCTGACTGGCATCAGATGGTATCTCATTGTGGTTTTGATAAGCATTTCTCTAATGATCAGTGATGTTGAGCTTTTCTTCATATATTATGCTTTGAGAAGTGTCTGTTCATGTCCTTTGCCCACTTTTTAATAGGACTGTTTGGTTTTTTCTTGTAAATTTGTTTATGTTCCTTGTAGATTTTGGACATTTAGACTTTTGTTAGATGGATAGATTGCAAACATTTTCTCCTATTCTGTAATATGTCTGCTCCCTCCGATGATAGTTTATTTTGCTGTGCAGAAGCTCCTTAGTTTAATTAGATCTCATTTGTCAATTTTTGCTTTTGTTGTAATTGCTTTTGATGTTTTCATCATGAAATTTTTGCCTGTGCCTATGTCCTGAATACTACTGCCTAGATTTTCTTCTAGGGTTTTTAGAGTTTTGAATTTTACATTTAAGTCTTTAATTGATCTTGAGTTATTTTTGGTATAAGGTACAAGGAAGGGGTCCAGTTTCAATTTTCTGCATATGGCTAGCCAGTTTTTCCAGCACCGTTTATTAAATAGGGAATCCTTTCTCCATTGCTTGATTTTTTTGTTTGTTGTTTTTTTTTTTTTTTTTTGGTCAGGTTTGTTGAAGATCAGATGATTGTAGATGTGCAGTCTTACTTCTGAGATCTGTATTCTGTTACATTGGTCTATGTGTCTGTTTTTGTACCAGTACTATCCTGCCTTGGTTACTGTAGCCTTGTAGTATAGTTTTAAGTCAGGTAGCATGATGTCTACAGCTTTGTTTTTTATGCTTAAGATTGTCTGGGCGATACAGACTCTTTTTTGGGTTCCATATGAATTTTAAAGTAGTTTTTTTCTAATTCTGTGAAGAATGTCAGTGGTAGTTTAAGGGAAATAGCATTGAATCTATAAATTATTTGGAAAGTACGGCCTTTTTCATGGTATTGATTATTCCTATCCATGAGCCTGGAATGTTTTTCCATTTGCTTGTATCCTCTCTGACTTCCTTAAGCAGTGGTTTGTAGTTCCCCTTGAATAGGTCCTTCACTTTTCTTGTTACTTGTATTCCTAGGTATTTTATTCTCTTTGTGCAATTGTGAATGGGGGTTCATTCATGATTTGGCCCTCTGCTTGTCTATTGTTGATGTATAGGAATGCTTATGATTTTTGCACATTAATTTTGTATCCTGAAACTTTGCTGAAGTTGCTAATCAGCTTAAGAAAATTTGGGGTTGAAATGGAGTTTTCACTTATATAATTACACAATATTTCATGATCAATGTAAGAAAACAGAAAATATGATGGGCAAACAGAAGAAAAACAATACTCACAGGCTCAGAACAGTAACAAAGTCACTCTTAATGTTTTGCTGCAGAACTTTCCAGATGTTTGTTTCTCTGCATATATAAACGTGTTTATTCAGAAAATTTTAAAGAATATCATATATTTCATATATTTTTGAAACAACTTTTTTCGGTTAATAATACACTTATCAAGAAAAATAAACCTCTGACTTCTAATAATAGTGGAATAGCTCTATCACTCTAAGACTTATGCAGGTAACAATTATATAATGTAGCAAAACATTCATAGGACTATTTTTGCAGGCACTGGAGAATAGCAAGTATTAGAAACTGGAGTGAAGACTACCTGTCTTAGTCTGCTTCAGCTACCATAACAAAATCCCAAAGACTGAGTGGCTTAAAAATAGACTTTTATTTCTCACAGTGCTGGAGGCTGAGAAGCCCAAGTTCAAGGTGGATTTTATTCTGAGGCTTCTTCTTTTGGCTTGTAGATGGCCACCGTCTTGCTGTGTGTTCACATGATCTCTTCTTTGTGCACTTTGGAGAAGAAAGTTAGCTCTGATAAAAAAGTTGCCTCTTCTTATAAAGACACTCATTACCTCACAAGGGTTCCACTTTCATGAGCCCATCTAAACATAATTGCTTCCCAAAGCCCCTTCCCCCAAATAGCATCACATTGGGATTTGGGGCTCCAACATATATATTTTGCGGAAATAGTAGAAACATTCAATCCACAGCACTATCCCTGCAAGACAGGATTGTACCTGGTAAGACAGTTCTGAAAATGTATGTGGCTCAGGGCAGCTACTGGCCTGAGGTTTCACAGGACAGAGTTCAGTGATAAAAGCTGGCAGACAAAAGTTAGTGGAGAAATCCAGGAAAAAGGGGTAACACAGAAGGAATGTATATAAAATCTGCTCAAATTGGACAGCTGAGCAACACAGGTGTCAGCAAGACCCCAGTAGGTCAATTGAGAAAAGCTATGTGGAGATTTTAGTGGCAGCCCACAGACCAGGAGATAGAGTATGAAGTTAAAGTTCAGTCACATCAATTTCCTTCTAGAACAAAAACCACTCTTCAAAGGAATCTAACAGTAGCCAGAGTCTCTGGAGCTGCAGTGGCTTCATACAAATCAATTTAACTAAGCTGAGATTACATTTTCAGAATTCCCTTCGCTTTGTGGCTCTGAGTTAGCGTTGGCCACAAGAGCAATGTGCATGGAATTTGGAAGGCATGAGTGAAGGAGTAGATGTGTTTTATGCTATGAAGGTCACTAAAGGCAGATACTATTACAGATCACACATTTTCACTAATCTACTGCTTACCTTGTAAAGTGAGGCAGTTGATAGGCCCACAGTTCAACCAGCTTCCACTCTATTTTGTTAGCTTATCTGAATCCCAGGACAATGTGTGTGAATCTCTGTGGTGAAGGGCACCTGTTTATAGAAGGTGAGAAACAGATACAGCTCTCATGGTTTCAGACTTGTTCCTGAATCTGTCACTTTGTGTCTATCTTCCTGTCCTGATTACTAGCCTTGCTGACTTCAGTTCCATAGAAAACAGACTTAAATTGCTTAATCAACTACCACAGTGGAGTTAGGTTTAAACTCTTTAATTATCTAGTTCCTCATTGACAAAATAGGAGAATTGTGTCTATGCTGATTTATAGGGTTGTTGTAAGAATACAATTAAAGTAAACTGTTTCCAATTATGCGGCATGCTTTCCTAGGTACTTTTGCAGCTACACTTTTATCACCCATATTCTAATTACAGTGGAACACTCACCATTACCTGCATATAGATTGAACTACCGTTTCTTATGCCTTTGACATTCCAAGATATGAGAGATGGCATTCCAGGCAGGTAGAGAGGGCTAATCAATGAGCCCTTTTAAAGTTGATTTCAAATACCAAACTTTTCGGAGATATTTCCTTGAATGCCTCTTGTTCATAATCAATCATTTATTTTCACGTAACTGCCTAGGATTCTTGTCAAAACGTCAAATTAGGCATCTCATACAAGACTAACTACCATGAAAAGCCTATTTTGAGTCTGCCTTTGCTACTAGATTGTGTGCTTCTTGAAGACAAAGACTTCAATCCCTCTTGCTCACTGCATGGTCTAGCACAGTATCTTTATAATCACTGGCACTCAAGATGTGTATCTTGGCTTGAACTGAGCCAATTACAAGCACAGAATTGTTTTGAATATATAAGACACACTTAAAAGCAAGCCTCGTATTTTGAAATCTTTTACTTTGTTGTTAGTTTTGCCAATTATGCGGGATATATCAATGTAATGATTTTTAATAAGATTCCTGATGAAACTATTTGACAGTAAAATTGGGGCAGTCAAATAACAAATGTTTTATGCCTCAAGACTGAAAAACATGAATATTTATATTACAAGAAGGAAATTGTATAGAAATTGTTAGACGAAGGACCACAATTTATATCGACTTACGTGGAAACTTGAGTTCCTTCCATTCTCTGACAAAGACAACCTTCATTATAGGAACTTGAATTGTTAAATCTGAATTCTTGACAACCCAATCAATTTTCCTTTGTTAAGAAGCAGATAGGCACTCCCACCTTGACTGGATATTATCATCACTATAATCTGCATGAACCCCTCCAAAAAGCCATTCTATGTTCCCTCTCATTCATCTTAGTAGAATCAGAATTTAAGGGGGGTGTGTGTGTGTGTGGGTGTATGCGTGTGTGTGTGTGTGTGTGTGTGTGTAACATTAAGCACCTATTACATCAGCCAATTCCTCTAGTAGATTTGTGATGTTGACAGGATTGTTCTATAATCTTTATCATACAAATAGTAAGCTAAGGCTCCTACTGTTGTTCTCTGCTGCTTGCAGTGAGTTTTGCCTTACATTGTAATTCAGAAAGCGGTAACAGTGGTAAAACTTAAAGTTTAAAAAAGTACTTAAAGACACCCTCTTATTGTCTTGTGCTCAATCTGAAGAAGCCCTTAATGCACTCAATAACAACATGATTGTACATAAATTTGGTATCCACAGATTTTCCTGAAAGCCTGAAAAAGTCACCTTGCACTCCATCTCTCTTTTTTCTTAATCTGTCAACCCAGATGCAGGGAAAGTGTTCATTAATTACTGTTTTTAATGCACAAACATGAAATCAGTGAAAGACATTTTGCCTTTCTGCAAATGTAGAAACTAATCATCCTCCACTTCTTACACATTTTAGAGTATAACTAACTGTAAGGCAAGATGCAGCCCTTTTTTCCATCACTTGCCTAAGCTGCGTTTACTCCGCCAATAAATTTAAATATGCTCAGTTTTCAGTTACAGTAGATTCACCATGGTACCACTGCAACTGGAAATAAATACTTTCATTTCAGCAAATTCTAGAAAAGAGTAGTTTATTATACCATGCAAGTACACTTTTGACACAACCTTAACTATGCCATTAGGAGAGACATGATAATAACCCACCCACAAGAGGATTCTTTTAAGCAAGGAGCCTGTGCATAATGGGTAGAGGAATGAAGAGGCCTGAAAGCAAAAGCAGAGTTTGAATCAAATGGAACTAAGTAAACAATTTGGGGCAATGTAAAATAAAAGCAATTTAAAACAAGAGCTTTAACTGAATTTTACAGAAGCAAACTGAATAAAGTAGTTAGGAAAATGGATATGGTGTTTAGCAAAGAAAAAAAAAAGATACTGGCACAGATAAATTAGGCTTGTCACATGTAGTTTCAATTTTTGATGTCTTGCTTAAAGAGATGAGCTACACTTTGTTTTCTTCACAAGTTCAGGAATAAGCAGACTAGTGTCTTGATTTTATTTGCCTAAATAGTTTGGTCATTAAAGGAAGCAGGTATCTTTTAAATACATCTGCAGAGTGATAGTGGAAAGTATTTAAAACATTAGAGAACAATCTTTAGCATGTAATAAGACCTCTAAAGTTTAAAGTAGTAATTCTCTCTATTCCCCTGTGCTGGCATTGCCCTTCTAAATCTGCAGTACCAGAACTGGCAATATTTGAACGTTAATGTAAGATAAACCAACAAGAGACTGATTTTGATCAGTTTATCTTTGATTGAGAATGAAATGTGAAATCAGTGGGTTTGTCCCTACGTGGCCCAGAAGCTCTTCATCCATCAAGAATGTGTTTATTTTACTTATGTCTTATTCCTTTTAATTGTCTTGCCCAAAATAATTTTTGAATATTACTTGTGTAAGAGTTGGGTACAATAGGTACCATGGGATCTTATAGAACCATTTATCTCATATATGTGATTTCATTTATGGGAAGGAGGAAGGAGAGAGAGAAAAGTGACAGGGAGAGAGAGAGAGAAAGAAAGAGTTTTTCAATAGTTTAGAAGACACTTTCTACTGCTTCCCCCAGTGAGTATCTGAGTTGGAGCAGTGGTTATCCACGTGCTGTGTCTTCTGCTGATCAGCAGCATCAGCATCACCCAGGAGATGAAATGCAAATTCTCAGGACCCACCTACATCCACCAATTCAGAAATTCTGTGAATGGGGTCCAGTAATCTGGGTTTTAACAAGCCCTCCAAAATGATTCTGACCCACAAATAGCTGTCTCCCTTGGTGCCATTATGGGATGAGTCTAACGCCATTTCCACATCACATCCTATAAAACATTAATATCCTCATGAATTTTCTCTTTTTCCAGTTAAATATCTTCCATTTAAAATTAACAGTTTTCAAAGGCCTTTTCTCTTCTGGCTAGTAACTTAAAATATAACCAATTGCCTTCTCTCTCTTTAAAAAAAAAAAAAGACACCCAAAACTAAAACAGCTCTGGAAGTATGTTCTATCCGGTACAATTGAAAAAAACATTACTTTCCTCACACTTCCATTTAATAAAGTTTAAAGTCACATTATTATTATTATCATCATCATTTTTTGGCAGCCACTGTTTCCTGATTATTTCTGTGAGCTCACTGTTCTTATAAATTCATCATTGATAGAAACTCCTAAATACATATGGTCCCCGACTTATGATGTCTTGATATACAGTCTTTCAATTTTACAATGGTCCAAAGTGATATCTATTTAGTAGAAACTACTTTGAGTACCCATAGTATCATCTGTTTTTTTTTTTTTTGTTTCCATATAATGTTCAATAAATTACATGAGATATTCAACACTTCATAAAAAAATAGGCTTTATGTTGGATGATTTTTCCCAACTATAGGCTAATGTAAATTTCTGAGCATGTTTAAGGTAGGCCGTGTTAAGCTATAGTGTTTGGTAGGTTGTGTATATTAAATGCATTTTTAACTTAGGATATTTTCAAGTTACAAAGGATTTATTGGGGGTATAATCCCATTGTAAGTTAAGGAACATCTGCATGCATCAAATATTCCACTAAGACAGACTAAATCAATCCTAATTCCCTTTTTTTCTTTTGTTCAGTTTTCCCTTTAGCTCAGTTTTTCTTCCATATTTATATGTGTATGCTTTTTCATGTGTTCATGTTTCCAACAAAATCAATGTACTCTTGACTCATATAGGTATACATACAACTTTCGTAGCTATCTTAGCACTAGAACAGGGGTGGAACACATTGACAAGCATTTATGAAGGCAACTATATACACACTTCACTATATATATTTTTTGTTTCCTTAAGTGATGAACTGATTTCTAATTCTCAAAAAATTGACACAAATCTCCCAACCTTTTCATCAAAACATGCCCAACTTTGGAAGTTGCAATCTGTTTCTAAAACCAGGTGGGTTTTAAAAACTCTCCTAATTAACAGTTCCAGGAACCATGTCATTAAATGTATTTATAAGCAGAAAGCTTTTTCTCATGATATGAACCAGGATGAGAAGAGATGAAGCCCTGGTGTCTATTTCTGTCTCTGTCACTGACTCACCCTTCATTGCAGTGGAAAGCCAATTAACCTCCCCCAGTTTCTCCATTTGTGAAATTTAAAAAACATCACTGGAAGGCTGAGAAAATGAAGGTTGTGGAAACTTTAAATATGTGTAGATAAAGGGTTTTGTATTAATGTAAATTCTAATATTTAAAATAATAGACTAAATTTGGGTAGGAATTACTTATAACTCTCCAAACCATCTTATCAGCACTAGTATTTGTTTGGACTTCTATTAAACCTTTAAACTGAAAACCTTCAAACAAGTTGTATTTATGTAATTACATACCTAACTCTTACTTAACTCTTTAATGAAACAATGAAACTGTGGTAAAAATGTATTGAGCATGACTAGTAGGTGATGTAACAGCATAAAGCTTAAAACTTGGTGAAATTCAGATTGGAATACTTTATTGGCCATCCCTCAATCTACTAAATTCAAAATCATGAGAGTTCTGGCAATGAACTGGCAATTTAACTTACTTAGCATAAATTAAAACGATATTATGATCAAAATATCATCAGAAGACATGCATAGAGCTGTTTGTGTAAAAAAATTTGGTTAAATTTCTCTCTTGCATTTTATTCTTACTAGAATTACATTTTCAAGATGTCTTTGTAGTCTTAGGCCAATGTAGATTCTTTCATAGCATTCTATTTCATTATTTTAATTATTTTCATGATCTGTATGCTTTAATATCTAGATTTATACACATTCGACTAAGTAATCAAGCCCTCATCAAGGGTATCTTCTTTCTGAATATTTCTTCACCCTTTCAAAAATAAACCAAACAAACTCTTTGATCCCTTTATTTCAAGTTAGAGTGATTCTGTGTAAGAATGTGTCTCTTTAAAACACTGCTTTAAAACACTAAGCAACACTTAAAATGTTCATCTGCCTCTAAATTGAAGAAAAAAGTTATAAAATCAAATTCTATGAATAAATAAACGGTAAAGTGGTAAACTAAAAGATTTATCTAAGACCATTAATATGGTGATTTTTTTAAATGAGTCTTTTCAGTTCTAGGGTTTTTGTGTAGCTTCACATAAAAGTTCTAATAAGCTCAATAATTAGCCAATTTCTAAAGGAAAACTATTGCAAACTTATGATAGCTCCTTCTCTTACTGAAAGCAGATTTTTTAAAAAAACAGATGTAATCAATAATATATTTGATTAAATAAATTTCTCCTGGGTCAGCACTCATTTCTCTCTTTCTCTGACACTCCCTTCCTCTCTCCCACTCACACAGGCACGCACAGCTAAAAATGAAAAGGCTGGACAAGCCCTGGGAATAAAAGTCACAGCATGTATGAAACCCAAAGCAATAGCTAATTGAAAATACATATTACTTAATCCTTTGTTCTGAGTAAACTGAATTAGAATAGTTTAAGGATTCAGATCCAAATGGCCTAGGAAAATTTCCCAATGCAGGAAACCCAATTTCCGCCTTGTCTCTTTGAAAGCTCACATAATGGTCTACCAACTCTGGGAAGATTTTCTTGATCAATTTAGCGTGCGAATATTAATAAAATTTGCATCATATTGACTCATAAATAATCACTATTGCCAAACACTACAAAATAAGAAACTCATCTGAACATTGAATAGTCATGGTTTCCGAGCACGTACACTTTTTTTTTTAATTATGTATGTCTTTCAGGTAGAGTGTAGAATAGCATCACATACATTTTAGAAACATTGTAGGTGCTTCCTGTCACAATTTATTTAAACTTTAATTTTAACTTTTGTGAGTCATGGGAATTCTACTCTCATTCAAGATAAGCAATGCATAGGTGAGTACAGTTAAGGTAAGCCAGAGAGATGACAGTATGTATTGTTTTTTGTTTTTGTTTTTGTTTTTAACTTGTTTGTTTTTGGATTTGGAATGAGCAGGAATGATGGCAGGATAAAGTGGAAAGGGATTTGAGAGTAAGAAACAGTTGGACTGATGGATTATTCAGATTCTAGGTTGAGTATGAAATTAAGTGAGGCAGAGATTAAGATACTGGAATGACATATTAAAAAATGAAAAGTTAGGAAAGTATGCTGCAATTTTTTTAAAAAAAGGAGCTAGGGGGCTGAATGCTAGAAGAGTTAGAGATCCTCGTTTTTGCTGAGCCTGGCACACACTTAAAATCCTTCTTTGAAGAGTATTCCAGGCAACCACATCTGATTGATACAAGTGTGCAATTGAAATGAAAAAACAAAACAAAACAAAACTATTTGGTTTCCATGTTTTGATTTAGATCCTTGGATGGCTAAGTCTGCTGCCTTTGAAGGCAATCTGTTGAGTCATTTCTCAGCAATGCATGTCAAGCAGTGGCATATAAGAACTTGAGTGATTATATCTGTATCAACAGCCTTATATGAGGGAAAACAATCTCACTATGAGATCAGCGAAAATCAAGACTGTGGCATTTACGGAGCAGCAGGAACCTACGAGTTTGTGACAACATTTCATTCTGCTGACAAGAACATGCTTAGTTGTGTGTCTTAGACACTTAAATGCCAGCTTATTTATCTTCCTGAAGAAAAAAAAATGTTTCGGGCTGATGATATGAGGTGACATCTACGTTATTGTATCCCACCTTAGTTGTGTCAGCTAAGATGAAATGGTTTTCTACATCACAGCATGGGTCACCATCAGCACCACAAACCACAAAGAAAATGCCAATGCTAATTAGAAACAGGTGCTGTTGTCATAGCATGTGGAACCTCTTATCTGCATGGGCTGGCGTACTTTCATCTGGGGCCACCCTTCACATGGTGCTCGCTCCAAAATGATAGTTTCCGGTGTGACAGGATTATGTACTAGGGTAATATTTCGATGCTTTCATTCAACAAGTATTTCTTGTTTATCATGTGAAAATCCAAGCTAGAAGCTAATATAGGAGACTAAAAGGCAAAGCACATAAAGTTCTTGCCTGAACAAAGTCTATCAGAGGAAATACTTGTATTTATCCATCCTTCATATCTCAACAAAAACGTAATTTCTTCTAGTTTCCTCATTAGTTATCATATGCATTTGTTGCTCTGAGAACTTTTGACAGTCAGAATATCTCCCTCCCACTGGCCCTTGAAACTTATGTGGCTATACTCTCAGCCTGTTTGTTTCACCATTATAACCTGAAACCTAGTAGACGCTCCATAAATAATTTTGAATAAATAAATAAAATCATTACAAAAAGAATAAGTATTTATACTCATTATGTTGGCACAATTCAATGTGCCATTGAAGTTGGAGAAGAAAGGAGTTGTTTCTGACTGCATAGATCATAAAAATTTTTATGAAATATTTTCAAAACATATTTATTGAGGTAGAATTGCTATACAAAGAACTATACATGTTTGATGTGTACAATTTGGTGAGTTTGGACATAGGCAGACATCTCTGATTCTATCACCACAGTCTAGGTAATATCTAATGAAGTGTTGGATATGCTGTGAAGCATTTTAATTGGGCTTTAAAGGTGGAGGTCATGGAATGTGTAGAGATGAGATGACGTGACATGACAGAAAGTGGTAAACAGCGGGTGCAAAGGCAGAAAGAAGGCAAAAGGACCGTTCTATCTATCTGTCTGTCTGTCATCTACCTGTCTCTTTCTATTTATCTGTCTATCTATCATCTATCTGTTTGAATATAGGCTGAATAAGTCTAATGGAGATAGAAACGTGGAAATGTGTATTTGGTCCAGGACATGAACATATGTGGTGGAATGATCAAAGGAAAATTTTGGGCCGAGGAGAAGACATTGTCAGAGCTATGCTTTAGTTGCATTAACCATCGATGGTATCTAATAGGTGAAGACACTAAAGACAATGAAATCAGGTAGAAAGCTATTGCAATATAGACAATGGGTGTCTGGCAATGGCAATAGGGAGAAAGAAATCTCCAGTTCAAAAGATACTGTGGAGGGACTTTGAATTAGTTGAATATGGAAGTGGTGATATAAAGAACAGGGAGGGCTTTAAAAGTATTAGTATATATATATATTTTGTAAAAAAATGAGCAGTTACCATTTGACAAACAACAGAGATTTTAAGCAAGAGCAATGATGTTTACGGTGGAACATTTATAGAAATGGAATACAATAGGGTTAGGAGTGAGGTTTGTAATTGAAACTATAACTTTGTTTAAGATGATGAGGGAGTATTCCAATTGAGATATCACCTGAAAAGGTAGAATGGGATGCCAGGAGAGGTCACAACTAGATAGACTGAAGTGTTAGAGAGAAATTAGTTGTTAGAGAAAAAAGGCAAATAATAAGACATGTTTAAAGTCAAAAGAGGCAACAGAAGAGGATTTAGTGAAAAGATACAAGTTTAGACAGTGACATACTGATTTTCAGGTTCAAAAGAACTACCAGAACGGAGGCTCACATTAGGCTGAATTGGAGTTCAGCAGAGCAGTGGGACAAAGATACGGTCATTGTTGCAGAACATCTGTTACAGAGGAATGTATAGAATCTAAGAAGGGAAGTCAAGAAAGACACACTCCAGAGGATCACCGCCATTTGAAAAGAATACAACAAAGGGGAATGTGGAGAGGTAAATGTGATGGGCTATTCCAAAAAGTGAGGTAACAAAGGGAAAAAATGCATGTTCAAGCAAAAGGAGATGATAATTTCAAGAAAAAATAAGTTGTCATCAAAAGCTTTATTTGATATTTATTTGATATTTGCCATAATAATGTCTACTAAACTAAGGACTCTTCAGTTTCCATTTTAATTGGAGAGTCAAAAGGTCATTGGTATCCTTAGAAGACCATTTTTAAAGGGGTTGTTATTAGCTATTTTTTTGCCCTTTCTTTTTTATTATTATTTTAATTGAAAAATCATAATTGTGTATGTTTTATGAGGTACAATGTGATAGTTTGACTATAGTCACCCTGTTATGCAACAGATATCAAAACTTGTTGTATCTGTCTGAAACTTAGTACCCTTTGACCAATAACTGCTCATTCGCTTCCTTTGCCACCATCCTTTCTTAACAGAGCTCTTGCTGACTAGATACATGATCTTGGGTTTAGGAGAAAGAAGTCACTTTAAAAAAATTTAAAAGGCTAGTGTTTCTTTATTGAGTGTGGTCGTGATGGAAAAACTGATGGCCAGATCGGAAAAGGTTGTGTTTCCCTAGATAGAGCAAGAGTTCACTTTTAATGATGAGGTAAATTAGTCATAACAGAGGGAGAAGTCAGAGCACTGGAGATAGGCAGAGAGACAGACTGAGAGAGAGAACAGTGGCTAATGATGTAAAAAGATGTCTGGAAAGTCAAAATCACTGGCCTCAAGATAGCGGTAAGAGAATTATTTGGAAGAACTTCTATTCTCTCTGTACTCAACTGTATTTCCTTCATTATTGTCTTCAGGAGGAAAAAATGCACATCTCAGAGTTTTTAATCCAAACTCTCAATTTCCTTTGTTAGAAGAAGATAATGTCATCTGCTAGAGAAGAGGCCTGAGGAAACAGAAAGGTCTGAAATAACCTGTCATCTAAAATGTATGTTAGTGCAGTGGTTCAGAGCATGAGCCTCTCAATAATGAAAAGAAAGAGCTCCTCCCTCACCCCCGACATACTGCTTACTTGCTATGAAGTCCTCAGAAAGTTACTTCCCAAACTAAAGCAGTTCTGTTTACAAAACAGGGGTAACAATCACACCGTGTAATATGGTTTCTGTGAGAATTCATTGAATTAAGAGTTAAATTTTATTGAGTAATTTCAATATTTCAGGTTGTATGGCAATATCTTTAAATGTATTTTCATTTATATTTCCATATTTTAATTTCCTAACTTGATTTTAAGCATCTATAAAGGTAGGCACTGTACCTTATATCTCTTTGTATGCTTAATTGTGCTCAGCATGGAGTACTGCACAGAACATATGCTTTAAATATAAAATCATAATAACTTTGAAAATATATCTTTCAGTCTATGAGTTAGTAATACCAAGGAATTCTTATTATAAGAAAGAGGCCAGAGTTGAACCACATATCTCATGACCGTATTTATTTTTAAAGCAATGTCAAAAAATGCTAACTTACCTTTGTCCTCTATTGCAGTTTTATCATGAGCTTATAGTTTAAACTTATGTTACCTTTGCAAAATTTGTAAGGCTTAAAGGCATGTATTTCGACTTAATTTTTATCTGCATAAGATACATATCTTATTTGCCTTGAATCTAAGTTTCCTTGTTTCTATACTTCAACGGTCCTCTTTCTATTAATCCTTGTCCTAATTTTATGAATTCTAATCTTATTCACTCTTGGTCAAAATATATAAACTTAGGCATCCTAACCACTTTAGTCTATCCCCTATGGAATATATTCCATCCGCTTGGATGTTTTTTAGCTACTCTCCCCTAGGTAAGGAAATGAATCATAACTTATGTTGCAATCACAAGAATTGGAGTTGTCCTCCCTCAGAATCCACTGACATTTCTAACAATAAGTTTTTAAAAATAAGTAAGAATTCAGATCCAAATGGCATATGATTCAGTTCTACGGTTTTCTGGGATATTTTCATGTCAAACACAATTAGAATTAGAAGTCTTTGGGTTTGGTGGGAGATACATAGTTTCATTTCTCTTCTAATTTATATATTAAAACATGGCCTATTAAACATATTATAGATGGAGAAGGCCGAAGAGAGCCTCTTTCCCAGTGATTTTTAAAACATTTTAAATAAAATACAACATTTTGGCAAATGAAACATTGGTGGAATCTCAACAAATAAGTCAAAGCAATTCCTCCTTCATCTGTTTTAAGTGGGGGTCACGGCCCTTCCCTTTTAGATTCTCCTTACTCACATTTCCATGTGGAACACTCCATATTTCTGCAGAACTTCAGATGTGAAGAACATAGTTTGAAATCCCCTATCTTTTCCAACCATTTAAATTTTACAGATGAATTAACACGCCCTGAAAAAGGACTGATTTTGATGTACTAGCTCTTGAAATAGTTGGGACCAGAATCCAGATATCCTAACATCTATGTCAGTGTTTATTCCATCCTATCACATGATTCATTGGCTTGATCATCCCCAGTGACCTCTTCTGGTTTGGCTTAAGCACTGGACTCCTATGAACCAGTCCAAGGTTTTGTTAGGAATGAAAGAGAAAACAGGGAAAGATGTTGAGCAGACGACAACTGGCCATGTCTGCAATGAAAAACCCAGAACCCAGAGATGAATCACTCTTGCTCTAATCCATCATTCCAATCTTTTATTATTTTACAACATTTTAAGATTCTCTTCAGTAAAAATATACCTAAATAGCCTAATTGTTCAATTATAATATACGCAAACTAAGTAAAATTTGGTGCAGAGGTTTCTGAGAAATCTTTTGCACTCCTAAGCAAAGTGTATGAATGCAGTTGGCACTGCTGTTTTCTCCCGTACTTCTATCTTAAATATGTATAGGATGGCTATCACCATCACAGGTCTCCTGCAAATACCCTTGCAAGCATAAAGAAGTAGCAAAATAGAATATGTCTTGATCTTTGACATTATTGACAGACATAAGTAAATAATCCTCCTATTCATTTAAACTGTGATAATCCAAGTTTTAATTTTTATTGTTGTCGTTATTTGGATAACTGACAAGTAGCATCAATTCTACTGAATTTTCATTTTTCCAAAGGAAACCTGTACTATAAAAAGATGTTTTTGAATTATCGATTCCTTTCACACTAGTACGTTCTCTATTTAAAAAAAAGAAAAATATATATATGATGTATATTCCCTGCTATTGTTTTAAATTAAAACTTGGCACAGGCCAGACATGGTAGGTCATGCCTGTAATCTCAGCATTTGGAAGGCTGAGACAGGAGGATTGCTTGAGCTCAGGAGTTGTAGCTCAGTGAAGGCAACATAGTGGGACCCTAACTCTACAAACATAAAAATAAAAAACTTACAGCATGGTGGTGAACATCTATAGTCCCGGCTACTCAGGAGGCTGAAGCAGGAGGATCACTTGAGTCTTGGCATTCTACGCTGCAATGAGCCATAATTGCACCACTGCACTCTAGTCTGGGCAACAGAGCAAGACCTTGTCTCTAAAAACAAACAACAAACAAAATAAAACTTGGTATGTCATACATTTGTAACTTGCATCAACTCTGACAACCTCCTGTATTCAAAGCGTGTATGTATTCGTTTCAATATTTTCAAGTATTCTCTATGATCCAGAATCCAGGATACGTGCTGGGAACTTGTTACTGTGGTCAAGGGGGTCATGATCTAGTCAATAATAGATACAGAAAGACAGCATATTAGCTGCAATCTTTGGGAAAATCCACAAACAGTTTTTTAAAGAATAAACTTTAAAACTATAAATGCTAAACAAATATGTAGAGACAAAATAATTCATACTTTTTTTTTTTGAGACGGAGTCTGGCTCTGCCACCCAGGCTGGAGTGTAGTGGCGCGATCTCGGCTCACTGCAAGCTCCGCCTCCCGGGTTCACGCCATTCTCCTGCCTCAGCCTCCCAAGTAGCTGGGACTACAGGCGCCAGCCACCACGCCTGGCTGATTTTTTGCATTTTTAGTAGAGACGGGGTTTCACCGTGTTAGCCAGGATGGTCTCCATCTCCTGACCTAGTGATCCGCCTGCCTCGGCCTCCCAAAG
Source organism: Homo sapiens (assembly GCF_000001405.40). Lineage (NCBI taxonomy): Eukaryota > Metazoa > Chordata > Mammalia > Primates > Hominidae > Homo > Homo sapiens. Next base: position 106,085,315 of record NC_000010.11, read on the forward strand.
TGCTGGGATTACAGGCGTGAGCCACCGTGCCCGACCTCATACTCCTATATTTTAATGGGTAAGTTAGTACCACCAAGTTTTCTGTACTTCATTGTCTTTGTCCATACATAGGTATTCCTAATTGCATCTAGATTGAGTATATAATTAAAATTTCCATATGTATGGTTTATTAAACTTTTCTTATCAGATAGAGATTTTTGGATCAATTGCAGATCTCTGCAATGGGAGCCTGGAAATTTATGTCTGTAACATCTCTTGGCCAAGTCATCATATTGTAAACCCATAAAATTGTAACAAACTCTTTATGCAGATTCTTCTTTCATTGTATCTAGGAGGTTTGTTATTAATCTATCTTCCTCTCTTAAAAAGTGTTCCTCAGGCACATTTCTGGTTAAGAAAAATTTGGGCACTTACTGAGTCAATTGTATTTCCATTCCCCATTAATCCATGATTAATATATAACAAGTAAAGTACTTTATTTGTTCAAGTGCTAATTTTGATATGGATGGCTCCCCATAGTCTACATACTTTTGCTAGTAGAAAGTCCAAAGCAAAAATAATTTAGCAATAATGAAGATAAACTATAAGTAGTTGTCTCAAAACTGACTGAATAAGGCTAACGGAAGAAAAATTATACATTTTTAACTTATTTATCTGATAGTGACTTCCTCTTATAAAGAATCATGAAAAGGCATATTGTTATGAATATTCAAAAGGATTTTTAATGGCTTAATAATTTTTCTTCCTTTGTTTCTAGGAAAAGTAGTCATAACACATGCCAAAATAGAGTATCACACTTGTCAGAAGCAGATAAAATAATGTATAACTTGACATGTCTATCTTTCATAGCATTGACTAAGGCAGACCAGCCATCAAAGAAAAGCATTACTCCCATCTGGATTTTAATATAGAAATATCATAGAACTTGCATAATATGGACTCCCCTGATTACAGTTAGAATGTCCAAAGTATAAATGTCACTTACCAGGAGTCATCACTATCAAAAGCTTGTCTTAAAATCTATTTGAAATAGATAATATATTAGCTCCAGATTTTCCCAGCATGATGTTAATACTCACTTATATTCTCTGAGTATATAGACATAAGTAGTTGACAAAGTCACCTGGAGGAAAGAGGAAAAAGCTGATTTTGCTCATTTTATTTTTGCTTCACATGGAACAAAGTGATCCTTTTGCTGGTGACACTCCTTTTTCCTCTCTGACACACCCTCTGGTCTTTTCCTGCTCTGTGCTCTAGAGTGCTGACCCCTATAGACATCATTTGGACTTTCTTCCTTGCATTTGGCCAATGGGAGACACTGGCAGGAATTGGAAGGCAGGAGACTGAGACTAGGGTATTTATTTCCTCTCCTTCTTTGTGTGTCATCTACAGCTTTTGGTGGATGCGCTCAACATTTACAGCTTCTAGAGAATGCTTCCTCTTCCATAGTTCAACATTTTCTGAAGGCTCCTGTTGTACAGTTGCCTTCTCTCCTTTCATCAGACTAGGGATGGAAATGACTTTCTTTTGTTGCTAGTCCCACGATGTCACCATTTCCTGTGGTTTAATTAACCATACCTACATCTCTGTAAAGTTATCTTAATAGTTCCCTTTAGAACCAGTAAATCAGTAAGGGTCCCAGCAGGAAGTAGCAAATTCTAAAGGTTCAACTAAATAGCCCCAAGAAAACATTGAAGCCTCTTAATTTTTGTTTATTTTTAAGATATAGTGCATTGTTTCCCTGGAAATAAACAGTAAAAGGATTTGTTACTAAACTAATTATCTTCCCCTTTGAATTTGCAGAAAGCAGAAATATTATATACAGGTAAATTATTTGTAGCCATTTTTTCTTGCCATGACATATACCTCACATAACTGTCACATGTTCAATTCAGAACTATACACTAGATAAGGATAATATTTATACAAATGAAGGATTTGCCCTTTCCTTTCCTGCTTAAAAAAGAGTATCATAGAGCAAATGTGTGAGAATAAGGTTGTCATAAGTACAATCTTGACACTGTACTTCTTTATTTTTAAAGAAAAGAATTTTCAAAGTTTATTAGCAGTATCCTGTGATTTTCAAAACACCACAGATTCTCTTGGTCACACATACCACAGCAAAGGACAAGTTTTCTAGAGACACAGAGGGAAAGATAACTTTTATTCCAAGAACTTCTACTGGGGGATGAGTGACAAATTGTCTTATTGCTTCCACTTGTTAAAATAATCCCTTAATTCCAAGTTAAAGCAATGTGAATTCAGCAACACTGACACGAAGGCAGCTATGATAGCCTTTTCAAAACTATTTTTGAACTATGTTGAGATGATTTAGTTACCTGGAATTAAATTGAAATTCAGAAATCATAAATATTGTTAGATATTTAAGAAGGCAAAAAAAAAACACAGAAAGTAGAAGTGATGTCTTTTTAACCAATCACCCTAAGATTCATCTCTTTAGATATTGATAGCTATCATAACATTCTTTAATTGAAAAGTGTCTATTGATCATCTACGAAAGCCAGGTTCGGAGTAAAATATGCATTCTAATGAGCGACTCATTAATGGCAGCCAGCAAATAATCCGAACATAAATCTTCATTCTCTAAACAGTTTTGGTTCTTAGTCAAGAAATAAGCAAATAAATTTGATTAGTATTATCTTTGTTAGTGAATACCCTCATAAATACAGTCACGTGCCACATAGTGACATTTTAGTCAATGAGAGACCACATATGGGATGGTGGCCCCATAAGACTGTAATGGAGCTGAAAAATTCCTATCACCTAGTAATGTAGCTGGCATAACATTGTAATAATTAGGTCGAGTATTTAGTATTTGATAATGATAATGAATGACTACCTTAGTGATTTATTTTTACCATACTATACTTTGTATCATTATTTCAGAATGTGATTGTTCTACTGATATATAAAAAATAACTATAAAACAACCTCACGAAGGTACTTCAGAAGGTATTTTCGAAGAAGGCATTGCTATCATAGGAGATAATAGCTCCAAGCATATTCTTGCCCTGGAAGGCCTTCTAGTGGGCTAAGAGATGGAGGTTGGGAGACAGTGACATGGGTGACTCTGACCTTATGTAGGCCTAAGCTAATATGTGTGTTTGTGTCTTAGTTTTTAACAAAAAAGTTTAAAAAGTTAATAAAAATAAAAATAAAAATATTTAAAGTAGAAAAAACTTACAGAATAAGGATACAAAGAAAGAAAATATTTTTGTATACTTGTAAAATGTATTTGTGTTTTAAGCTAAGTGTTATTACAAAAGAGCTAAAAAGTTTCAAAAATGTAAAACCTTATAAAGTAAAAAAGTTACAGTAAGTTAAGGTTAATTTATTATTGATGAATGAATAATTATTTTTTATAAATTTAGTATAGCCTAAGTGTACCATGTTTATAAAGTCTATAGTAGTTTACAGTTATGTCTCAGGCCTTTGCATTGACTCACCATTCACTTACTGATTCACCCAAAGCAACTTCGTTTTCCTGCAAGCTCTATTCATGGTAAGCGCCATATAAAAGTGTATCTTTTTAAAAAATCTTTTATACAATTTTTGCTGTACCCTTTCCATGTTTAGATATGTTTAGATAAATAAATACTTACCATTGTGTTATGATTGCCTAAAGTATTCAGCACAGTAACATGCTGTACAGTTTTGTAACACAGGGGCAATAGGCTACGCCTTATAGCCTAGGTGTATAGTAAGCTATAACATCTGGGTTTGTGTCAGTACACTCTCAATGTTTCCACAACACTGAAATCACCTTAAGACACGTTTCTCAGAATGTACCTCCATTGTTAGGCAATTCATGACTGTATATTGTAATTTTTATATTTCAACTTTATATGATATTTCTTTTCTTGATATCACGATACTCTGACATATTCACAAAAGGAACTGTACTTATATCTTTATGTCGTTAAAGGGTTCACATATAGCTCGAGGTAACCATATAGACTTGCACACACTTTTCCCCCACAAATTTAAATTTCACCATCTGTTAACCATATTAAGACTAATTAGCAAAAATCACTGCATGCTGCATCTTCAACAAGAGACACCATAGAGACATTCAGAGTTATTTTAAAGAATCAGCTCTGCAAATAAGACTTTAATGTGAAGGAGTGCATTTATTATAAAGTTTTACACACTACTCACAGTTTCAATATTTCTTGTTTGCTTCTACTTTGGAGAAAAATGAACGATTTTATGGAAAAATAAGTTGGATTGAACCTTCATTTTTCCCTGTATGTTTTCCTCAAAATAGCAGGCAAAGTAACTCAAATCCCAACATCATAAATGCTATAAAACAACCACTTTAAATAAAAGGTATTATTATTAATGAACCCCATTTTCAGCTAAATCAGCTGATGTTTCAAAAGTTTTTGTCTAGCTTATTCATTTACTGAACTAGTAAGTGAGAGAGTCAGGATTTTGAACACCAAATTCAATTCCCAATCTCCTTCAAATGTACTAGAAGCATCCCATCCAACATTATGTAAAAAAGAAAAAACTTTTGACCAATTAAATTGAACAATTTTTTTTTTTATTTTGAGCAAAGAATGATTCATCAATTGGGCAGCCCTCAGAACCAGAAGAGGTTGAAAGAGCTTCTCTCTGAAGGTAGGCAGAGAGTATTTATAGATAGAAAAGGAAGTGAGGTGCAAAAAATAGCATGGTCTGATCAGTTGACAGCCTGTGATTGGCTGAGACTCAACTATTTTTATTTAAAAAAATACTCCTAAATTAGGTTTTCAGTCTGTGTACATACCAAGTTAGGTTGCAGTTCCTTGAGCAGGGACTCAAGGTATGGAGGCAGCCTCAGGCCAAATTCAGTTTAACAATTACACAAGCAAAGGCATGGCAGCATTGAGAGCACTGGCAAATCCTAAAATTGATTTAATAGTCAGCATAACCATATGTTCAGAATAAAATGGGTTAAAGTATGATTTATTTTAGCGCCAGATAACTGCTTTGCTAATGTTAGTCAGCAAAATAATCACAAAAGAGGAATGTATATTAAATGCAGGTTAAAGGCAGATTTCTTCACCCCTTTCCCCATGAATCTGATTAAACGGGTCCGAAATGCAGTCTAAGAATCAGTTTTTAGTAATCACACTGGACAATAGCATGTAAGAATACAAAGACAACTCTGGGAAATATTGACATAGAAAATGAAAGGGTATGTCCTCAGATTTCCTACTGATCACCTAAATAATCACAGTATTTCCAATGCAAACAAATCAGCTCAATAAAAATTTATCATTGATAATGTTTATTACATCTAATCCTAAAATTATTCAATATAAAAATCATTAAATTGAGAAGAGATTGGAGATTTGCAGATTTAATAACCTGGCATTATAAATAATCTTAGATTTGTTACTAACTGAAGATATTACCAGTGAATATTGTCAAGATGATAAAGGAGTGCAGTGTCTGGCAGAGTGCTCCAGAATTCAATGAAAGAAAATTTCTTGTTTAACAAACGAGACATATACTCAAAACTAATCTCTCACTTAAAGAAAAAGTGGATAAAGGAAACTCAAAAAGGTTGGAAAATGTTCTTTGGGTTTCTTTTATCCTTATAAGCTGTAATTACAAATTTCAATAAGTAATCTTCAGGACCCCAGTCATACTTCCAAAAAGAGAGCAGCAGTATTTCCAATATTCTGCACCCCCCACCTCCCCACAGGTGCCATCTGGGGTTACACCCTAAGGGCAGAGGTGCTTCAGGCAATTACTTACTGCCTGTGGCTAGCAGCATAACTGGGAGAAGCTGATCTCATGTATATTACTTCGTATCTAGAAGTCTCTTGAACTACAAAAGAGATCACTAACACACACTAATTTCAGTTACTTTATTCTCCTGGCTTTAAGGACAGGTCATGAAATGCAGGTTATCACAGGATATGGAGGTTAAATAATGGAACTAAGTGATTTATTAAAAAGAAAACTCCTCAGCCTATAATCCCAGCACTTTGGGAGGCAGAGACAGTTGGATTACTTGAGGCCAGGAGTTTGAAACCAGCCTGGGCAACATGGTGAAACCTAGTCTCTAAGAGAAATACAAAAAATAGCCAGGCGTGATGGTGTGTGCCTATAGTCCCAGCTTCTTGGGAGGCTGAGGTGGGAGGATCACCTGAGTCCTGGAGGTTGAGTCTGTGGTGAGCCATGATTCCACCAATGGGCAACAGAGCAATACCCTGTCTCAAAAAACAAACACACAAACAAAAAAAAAAAAACCAAAGAAGAAGGGCCAGGCGCAGTCGCTCACACCTGTAATCCCAGCACTTTGGGAGGCCGAGGTGGGCTGATCACCTGAGGTCAGGATTTCGAGACCAGCCTGACCAACATGGAGAAACCCCATCTCTACTAAAAATACAAAATTAGCTGGGCGTGCTAGTGCATACCTGTAATCCCAGCTACTCGCGAGGCTGAGGCAGGAGAATCATTTGAATCCAGGAGACAGAGTTTGCGGTGAGCCAAGATCATGCCATTGCACTCCAACCTGGGCAATAAGAGCAAAACTCCATCTCAAAAAAAAAAAAAAAAAAAAAAAGAAGAAAAGTCCTTAATAGAGATTAATAGGGATATATTTAATCTGTGTATGTACATGTGTATCATGATGGGGCGGGGGCAGTGACTGGTGCATGTTGCTGACTTAAGGTATTATTAAATAAAACCTATGTCATTTGAGGATCATCAATGTGTAGGTTTGGTCTGAAAAATATTACTTAGCTGTACAGAGCATGAATAGTAAGTTCAGTAAAGCAAAATCCAAATAAATCTGTAAAATCTGTATAGCTAGGGACTATTAGGATTCAAATTGAGTTTGATACTCATTCCAGTGTTGCTGAAAGAGGACAGTTACAGTTGAACTCTCCTTCTCACTAAAAAGCTCCCAGCCTTCAGTAGCATCATCAAATCATCTAGAAACTTTTAATCTATGAAGTTTTGATAATCTAGACTATTTGATGTATAGCCTATTTCCTTACTCAATAAAGAATGTAAATTATAGATAGGGATCTCACCAAAAGTTGACCTAAGAAAGTTAAAAGCCCCTTATTCAACCAGTTTCTTTTAATTTCTGGCAATGTTATCCATACGCAGCTAAGATGAGTTTTAAAAAGTTTAAAAAGGCTTTACTTTAGTGATCAGTCTTTTCCTCATGCACATTCACATTATATCTGAATGAATTTCTAAGTGATACTGCTTTGATTTATTGTTACAAAATAAAAGCCAACATAGAGGGCTGACCATAAATATAAGGTAGAAACACTAAACCTTATTTTGCAGTCCTGTAAAGAGAGTCATGTGGTTTCACATCTATCATATCACAGTGCCTTAAATCCCACTATTGCTCTACCTTGTCACAGTGCCATGAAATCTCACCAGTTCTTATACTTAGGACATCTTCTCCAAAGCTCCTGGATAGAAATGCACATATGAATGGTAACTTATCCAGCTAGGAGCACCCAGTACTCCCCACTGTGAGTAACCAATTAGACTGGAATGAAGCAAAAGTGAATTCTGATTGACAGAATTTAAGGAGGAAGAACAATGAAAGCAGGGATGATCAGAGGCTGGAGTAGAGCAGCCTAAATGGCACACCAGAGCAATATCCTGTGGTGCAGGACAGACAATACAATGGTCCTGTGGATGAGGATAGGGTGTGCAGAGAAAGGGGCCCAGAAAGAACACAAGGTAAGAGATGGAACTAGAAGTACATATAAGTATAATGTAGAATGTTATAGGCAGCCAAATCATGTTGAAGAAGAACATCTAATAATGTGAGCTTGTAATTAAAATATATCAACTGCAAAAAGCTGGTACAAATGACAATGTATAGTCTGATTTTATATTTGTATAAAATAATAAGCAAATTTCTAGGAGATCTTTGGCCAATTAGAATAACAAATAATTGGGTAAGTACGTGTCTTGAGATTGAACTAGAAATAAATGCATATATATATATATATATATATAATACAAATATATATATATATATATATATATCTCATTCTGTTAATTTCTGAATATCTTTTTGGTTCTGATCCCACTATTTAGAAAATAACAAGAAAGAAAGTGTCCAATGGTAGAGTTTAATAATTTACTACTGCTGCAAAGGCAGTGAGAGCACTAGCTCTCAAAAGCAGTGCTGAATTCTGAATGATCATCCAGATCCCGAGGGATTTTTCAGGCTCTTAGGGGCTTTTGATGTCTGTTTTCCTGACATTGAAGCATTTCTTTTATTCTTGTATGGCTGAACCATAGTGTTCAGCGTTCTTAAGTTTACATAAACCCTCAAATGCCTTTTCCCACATACCTCCAATTTTTGATTTCTTGGGTAAATCCCTATTTCATGCACCACAAATTTCAACATAGGTGTGGAGTCAACTATAAATTTTCTCGTTATAGGTAGATAGATGTAGTTTAAAATTAATATACAAATAGAGATAGATGTAGATCTGTAGATCTATAGATATTTAAATAGATATCATATCTATATCTCTATATATCATCAGGTAGATAAGTAGATAGATAGATGTAAGGCAATTAAATAGCTCCAAATGTTGATAAAGATATAGTACAATGAGAACTATTACATGAATACATCTAAATCAGTACAAGGACTTTGAGAAATAATATGGCATATTTTGTAAAGTTGAAACTGCACATTCTCACCAATCATTATTTTCACTCTTAGGTATCTACACTCTGAAAAAACTCTTTCATCACTGCACCAAAAGACATAAAAAAAAATGTTTGTAGCAGCATTCCTTATAATAGCAAAAATCTGAAAACAAACTAAATGTCCACTGACAGAAGGGATAATAAATTACGGTATATTTTGATACAGCCTTGGAAATAAATGAGCCACCTGTATCAACATGAATGAATCACATCAACAATGTTGCTTCATAAAATAACGTCACAGTAGAAGAAACTCAGTCTAACACCATTTATATAAATTTCAAAATGTATAAAACTAAAGAGCACAGTGGCCTTCCCTTATCCACAATTTTGCATTTTACAGTTTCAGTTACCCTTGGTATAATGCAATAAGCTACTGTATAACAGAGAGAAATAAAGGCCTCATTCACATAACTTTTATTGCTGTATATAATTATTACAATTGCTCTATTTCATTAGTTATTGTTGATATCTTACTGGGCCTAATTTATAAATTAACCTTTATCATATGTATGTATGTGTGTGTAGGAAAAACATAGTATATGTAGAGTTCATTCAGTACTATCAGTGGTTTCAGGCACCTACTGGGGATCTTGGAAGCATGCCTCATGGATAATGGGGGCTTACGAGCCCCCATTTCATATGGGAATACTCGCCTATTTTATAATTATTCTTTAAGTAAAAGAATGATGATAATCATACACCCCATATAGTGGCTATCCTGATTGGGAAGGAAGGGAGGATGTGATCAGGGAAAAACACAAGGCTTCAATAGTGTTGTTTTATAAGCTGTGTGGTTGTTAAAAAAATACTTTAGACAAATTAAATTTAGCCAAGTTTATTTGAGCAAAGAAATGATTCATGAATCAGGCAGCAGTCCTGACCAAAAATGGTTTATAACGATCCATCCCACCCACCACATGTGCAGGCTATATTTATATCCAGAGAAAAGGTAGTGACATACAGAAATAATCTAAATGGTTACAGTCGGCATTTGTCTTATATGGTAATGTTTCGTTAGCCTTCAGCCTCTGATTGGCTGGGGGCTTAGCTGCTATGATTAGCTGAGACTTGGCTATTTGTTAGAAGAGTATACTTTCATGTTGCGTTACAGTCTGTTTATACATCAAGTTCACAGTTCACTACCTACAGAGAAACCTTTAGGCCAAACTTAAAATATGTGTGAAGGTAGGTTTAGGCCAAACATATTTCAATTTAACAGTGGTGAAACATATTTGACCATTTTATTATATTTTATAACATATATATTTCATTTATATATTGAATATTTCAGAATAAACAGATTTAAGACATGATAAAATGATTTTAAACCGAGTCAGAAATCTCTGTGCCTTCAAGAGGAAAAAGTACTATATAATGTGAATACTAATATGTATGTCATTTGATTAGGAGACAAATGGTACTATTGACAGATAAAAGTAGAAACTATTTAATATTGCTTATAATAATATGATATAATAATGAGATATATGTCAAATAATCATCATAGTTAATTGTTAATCTCTTAATGTGCCTAATTTATAAATTAACCTTTATCATATATATGTATGTATAGGAAAAAACATAGTATTTTAAACATTTAATGTATATTAACTATTCTCCTCTTGGTCATCATCACAAAATAAGCATTTGGCTTTTGGAATAATAATTATGAGGCCATAGAGCATATGATTAAGAGTGTTTGTGTGTGTGTGTGTGTTAGAGAACCTGGGTTTGAATCTCAGCTTCAGGTCACTAGCTATGTGACTTTTGCTAATTTTCTGCCATGTGACTCAGTTTCTTTATTTTTAAAATTAACATAAGAAATCTTAGTGTGATTGTGAAGGGTAAATGAGATAAAAATAGGCAAATAACATTTATTTAATAATTTTTATTTGCCAGGTACTGTGTTGAGTCTTCATATAAAGTAATACAAATAAGAAAATAACAGCACGACTAATTTCCTGGATTATTCTACTCATGTTTATAAGTAGCTGATCAAGGCATTAAGCTCCCGCAGGGAGATTGTAAAATCACTGCATCTAATATAAGTGACTCTGTGTCTTGAACTCTATTCCAGGCTTTAAAACAAAGCAAAATATACTTAAACCTAAAAGGTATTCACAATATTTTCATATAATCTAAGCAAGTTTTATCAGCTCCTTATCTCTAATTTTGATGTCATATTTCAATCACGCTGGTTCTTGGTATAGTTGCTTTGATACACTGAGGCAAATGCTTTTATGTTTACCAAGAGAAATATGTTAAAGTCACTTTTTAATGTTGTAACTTTTGCTTAAATATTTATAAGCTTGTTATGAGGCTTGTGGCAATATATTAGATATATTAGAATTGATATATTATGAGGTATGTGGCAATTTAGAATTGATATATTATTTTGGTGACTTGTTCATTTTATTGTTATGACATTGCTCTCAATCTATAGCAATATTTCTTACCTTGAAATCGGTTTTGTCTTTTGGTCAGTGTTTGAATGGTATGTTTTGTTCTTTTTCCATAGATTTTATTTCAAAACATTTCTGCCTTTTAATTAATGATGTCTCTTGTAAGCATCATATTGTTGAGTTTTATACTTTATGTAGTCTAATGATTTTCTTTTTAGTAAAATAGTTCGTATACATGTTATGTAATCATCGATCTATTTGGTTACATATCTACCATTTATTACTTTTTATTTGTCCCATTATTCCCCTTTTTGTCTCCTTTCTTGTCTCATATTAGATTAATGAAGTATTTTTTTTTTGCTAATCCATTATCTTTTCTATTTGCAGATTATTTATACTTTAAAAAAATTTCTTTCAAAAATACCCCAGAAATTATATCATTATGTTTCCCCAAGTGGAAACCTAAACTTTATTCTTTTATTACCTCAGGCAATACTGAGATACTAAAATATTTTTATTTCATTTCACCATCACCTGTGGTGTTCTTGTGACATATTTTATTTTTATGTGTATTTTAAACCTGATAGGACAGTAAGAGTATTTTGTACAGTCAACATTAATTTAGATTTACTTCATGTGGTGATATATAGATACTAATTATAATATTCAAGGCAGCCACTAAGATAATAATTAAAAATATGAATAAAAGAAACAATGAGATAATTTAATATAATTACTGATAAATTAGGACTCATGTCTTCTATTTTCCGATTGTTTTCTATATGTCCTGCCTTTTTTGTTTCTCCATTTCTACACTACTGAATTTTTGAATGTCAACTAGGTATGTTCTAGTTTACTATTTTAATTATGTTGTTGTTTCTTTAATTCTGTATATTTTAGTTATTTTCCTAGTCGTTGCCTTGGGTATTACAATTAGCATCTTAACAAAAAAAAATCTAGTTTTATTACTAATTTAATTTCAGTAGTATACAGAATTTTTTCCATATAGCCCCATTCCTTTCAATTTCCTTAGTGCTGTTTCTGTAATACATATTGCAATTTTATACAGTAGAACCCAACAGAGTTTTTATAGTTATTGCTTTATACAGCTACCTTTTAAATCGGACAGAAGAGTTACAAATATATATTTATACTTACTCTCCTTTATATTTATCTATATTGACCTGCAAGAAATTGCCACAAAGTTGGTGGCCTAAAACAACATACATTTGTTCTATCCCATTTCTGGAGATCAGAAGCTTGAAGTCAGTTTCCCTGGCCAAAGTACATTTCTTGGCAGGCCCAGTTCTTTCTAGTGGCTCTGAGGTGAGAATCTTTTTCCTTGAGTTTTTCAGCTTCTAGTGGCCCACCCTATTTCTTGGCTTGTGGCCTCTTCCTTTGTCTTCGTAGCGCATCATTCCAATCTGTTTTCCATCATCGCATTGCCTTCTCAGCCTATGTAGTCGAGTCTTCCTTATAAAATACTTGTGATTATAATTAGAGCCTCTTATAAAAATACTTGTGATTATAATTAGAGCCTACCTAGTAATCTAGTATACTTTTTCCATCTCAAGATTCTTTATTTAAACACATTGCAAAGTCCTTTTGTCAAATAGAGCGACATTTACAGGTTCTAGGGGTTAAGAAATTGATATCTTTAGGGGCTATTATTCAGCCTGCCACACTGATATGCTTAATTTTATCATTTGGATTCAGGCATACTTTCATGTTGGCTTGATGAGATCCCACTAGTATTTCCTGTAGGGAATATCTGTTAGTGGCAGGAATGTCTTAATTTCTGTTTCATTTTCCAAGGATAATTTTGTTTCATTTTCCAAGGATAATAGCTGAGTAGAGAATTCCTGATTTTTAAAATTTTTCTTCATTTTAAATATGTTTTCCCACTTCCTTACAGCCTTCATGGTTTCTGGTTATAAATACCTGCTAATCATATTAAGGATCTCTTGTCTGTGATGAGTCTCCACTTTTGCTGCTTTCAAAATCCTCTCTTTGTATTTGTCTTTGGATAGTGATGATTTTGATGTGTCATATTATTTTGTTATAATTCATTTTATTTTTATAAGATTGGTAATGCCTCATTTTTCAAGAATGCATATTTGGTTCTTTTACAAATTTCTGTCTCTTAACCAGGATTCTCTTTTTGGTGAGACATCATTGTCATATTTTAGGCAATGTTTTCTTAGCTCTTCAAACATATTTATAAGAGTCAAATGTAAAGTCTTGTATACTAAGTCCAGCATCTGGATGCCTGCTGAGACAGTGTCTATTGATTTTGTTTTTAATTTCCTGAGTTGTGAAAATTTTGATTTTGACAATGTTGCCAGAAATTTAATTGCTTTATGAGGAGCTGATTTATAAAGATTTTCATTCCACCATTCCAGAAGTTTTACACTAGGGCCTCATAACTTTTGTATGTGATTCTGAACTATATCAAATTTGGGACATTTTGCATATGCAAACCAAGGTTTTGATGCCTGAAGATATGGTACATGTGACTTCTGGAGACAAATACGCTAGGCAATCTCATTGTAACAATTACTCAAACTAGAAAAGGGAACGGGATTTAAAGGATGCTTCAATCTATCCATTGCTAAGGAACTTAGGGGGTAACTATATGAAGCTCAAGGTTGGTAATATCATCTATCATCATGAGGTTTGAATGTTTCTTCCCTTTTTTCTAATCAGCAATTGCTTTGATTTTACTGAAAATAAGGGTTGGATCTCTGTTCTGCCAACTTAATTTAAAAAAAAAAGAAAAAATCATGGAGAATTTTAAAGAAAGAGCCATCAGAATGATTGGATGCATATTCCTGAAATTAAACAATCTGATAAAATGTCAGGCTAAATTTGACTTGCAATACGTTAAAACAAGAAAAGAGTATTGTAAGGCCAGCTTAAGGTCCACATATTCTTTGCATCTTCAGAGTAGTATCCTTTATCTCAGACAGGACTCAGATATATTCTTGTGTAACAAACAGACCTAATGTCAAGTTCAAAGAGGAATGGCACGCATAAAAATTTCCTACCAGTCAGATTTTGTTTTCTCAAGTACATATGGTACCAAGTACCACCTTTGTTTAGCATTTCAATAATGTAACCCTTTCAATAATATCTTCTGGGAACTGGTGATTGAGTAAACTAATAATTGAAGCAACACATATAATTGTGATGTCATTATGGGTAGTTTTCTTAAGTTCTCAGCTTGGATGCAATATATCTTGCCACCTATTTAGAAAAAGAAAAGGGGAAAAATTAAAATGCTACAAACCAGCAAATAGCCATAAAAGGTTTCCACTTTTTAATAAGTTTTGCTGTTTAACTTTCACATTGACCTGGATATTACCACAATATGGTACATAAGACTTTTTAAATGAGGAAATTTTCACCAAAGTTCTATTGGAATACAGCACAGCTTGAGTGACCAGGCATGTCTCACAGCAGCTTAACATAGATTCACCTATCAAGGGCATCATTTTATGCATTTCCTGGGTCCACAGCCATAAAGACCCAGGGCAAAAAAGCCAATCAATCACATAACAAAATAAAGAAAGAAATAACATAAATAGAAAACAGCACCAGCCTTACTTTGTTTTAAAACTTGTACATTTGCTCCTTGAAGGGAAAATAGAATTGATATAATTGATATCTGATTATAAATTAGAAATAACTTATAACCTGTGAGTGACATATATATGCATTGTATGTACTGATTGTATTGATACATAGGCCCCAGAAGAAATAATCTATTTGCATACCAAATATACTTGCCTCCCAGTCCCTACTTGGTCATTAAGGAGACTCAGTTACTGCTGTTACATCACCTAATAGTCCCAGTTGGTTTTGATTTCTGAAGTTAGAGTCCTTTTCTGGCATGGTATCCATATGTCAACTCTGGTGGGAGCAAAAGTAGCATTAGTAATCAAGCCTGAAAGAACCAGACACACAGAAGCTCCTATTTGACTCAACTCCCAAGTCACTCAGATAAAGCACCATTCCATTAAGAACAGCATCTAGTTTCCACACTCATATCCAGAGAGGCCTGGTGACAACAGCTAGGAAATGCAGCAATTTAAAGCCTTGTGGGTAATTGGTGAGAGAAATGGAAGAAGAGAGCCAAAAAGTATCCCTCTACTTCTCCTCAGCAGATTCTTCAATGTACGGTAGTTGTCTGCTCCAAGTCATCTCACGTGACTGAGTAAACCAATAAGGTCTAATGTGTATGTTTTAATTTTCACTCTGTTTGCAAAGACCCTGATTAAGGCAGATCCAGAACCCTGTGTGTAAGCATATTAGTTTGTACACGATTTTGGTTTCTTGGGCCTATTTTGATTTTAGCCCCAACTGTGGTAGATAGTTTCATGCATATTGAAAGACTTCCATTTCAAATGATGAAAACGTCTCTCTCCTTTTCAACCTCAGAGCATTTTCCTAAAATTGAGAAATTCGTTCAGTTTACATATTTGTTTCAGTCCTAAAATGCAGAGGAGTTAATGCTTCCAGAAGCAACTCTCAGTAGGTGGGTGCTCTCATGCTTATTGGACATATAATACTGGGAGGTATTTTGTATGCTTCTCAGAAGGGCCAGTAGAATTGAGTCCCTGTTACCCTCAGACCTACTTTGAATACTTGTCCTTAATTTAAATTTTTCTTTTTCATTCTCTCTCTCAACTATTTTATAGTTCCCCTCACAAATTTTCTTTCAAGCTCTATAATTGAGCATGCCTAAACAAAGACAGTTGTCCCAGACGTGGTCCTGAAAAACTTATTCTTGAGGTGGGATTTTGGAACTGGATCTCTCACTGCTCAGATATGAGTTCTTACTGGAAATAAACAGAATGATGATAACCTCTGATGTGTAAAGCAATATCACAACCACCAAGAGCCTCACCTATGATGGACTAAAATTAAATACAATTGAAAGAGGACATATTAACTTATGCATTAGTTCTAGCCCTTGAATGGTGTGGGACAATGGCAATAAAAATTAGGAGGTGGGTGGTTTTTGTTAAATTTCTTAAAAGACTTTAAGAAAGAAAGAGAATGATAAGGTCTCAAGTATCAGAACATGATAAAGTCTGAAGATCTTCTTGGCATTGTTAGAGGTCTTTCCGTGAAGTCAGTGCTGTGCTGAAAATTAGGCTCAGAGTTTAATTGCTAGCAGAATAGCCAAATAAATAACGTAAAACCTCGACAGGCAGCCCAGGGTAAAGTCTGGACCTTTATTTGGGACCCTCAGATTTGTGAGTAAAGTAGAAATGCCTGGGTAATTTCTTGGGAACTGTCTAGGTTGTGAGAACTCCTGCTTGGTTTAGGGTGACTGTCCTCTGTACCGCAGGGTTGGTGGTGAGAGAGTTGCCTTGGAGCTTAGTTCCCTAGTGTCAATGGAAATAACAGAGACCATGTGGTGAAACTCAACCATAAAAGGCAAAGTGAACAGTTTTCTTCTAATGACAGCAAGACTAAAGCAAAAACCAAGGTGCTTTTTCATGCAGAGGTCTATGTTAATGGCTAAGAAAACATGGGGTTCTTGGGTAAGATAGAGAAGCAGCTGATGAGCGTATTGCTTGACTTGTAAAAACAGAAAAATGACAGAGCTTGTGAGAAGCCTGATGTCAGCAGTCTTAAGAGAAAAGTATTTCCATCTCCAGTTTTCAGATACAGATCCTGCCATTTGGATGGGAGGCCAATTTCTACTTGGGTAGTAGGGACCATGAAGTGCCATTGAAAGTCAACACAATAACCAACCTGCCAATCCTTCTGCAAGTGGACCTGCAGCCATTAATCACATAACTTATGAGAGGTGACAGATACAGGGTTTGATCTGACACTGACGCCAGGAGACTCAAAATACCATCATGGAGCTCTGATTTGGTGGGAGCTTATAAAATGACAGGTGATAAATATGGTCATGGCGAACTTCCATCTAACAGTGTGTGCAAAGGCCCCTCAGCTACACCCTATGGTTTTTTCTCCCCTACTTTGACTACAAAATTATAATTGAATAAGTATTTTATTGAATTTTTAGTAACTTTTAGTAATTTACTAAAATTTTTTAGTAATTTAGTAATTTACTAAAAATTTTTAGTAATTTTTATTGAATTTTAGTAATTTTTGTGTTGTCCTTTTAGTAGATATCCAAGATGTGTATATTTGTCTAATTATTGCCTTTTTATTAGTGTATTTACCACTTCCAGAACAATGCAAGAAACTTTAAAAGTTTAACTCTACCCCTCCTGATTTTGTGGTTTGGCTATCATATAGTTTTCTTCTATATCTGTTACACAAGACATAGCTATTATTATTGTTTTATACAGTTAGTGTTCTTTCACATTTACTCACATCTTTTTTTAATTTTACTTTATGATCTGGGATACATCATGTGCAGAACATGCAGGTTTGTTACATAGGTATACATGTGCCATGGTGGTTTGCTGCACCTACCAACCCATCATCTATGTTTTAAGCCCCACATGCATTAGGTATTTGTCCTAATGCTCTCTCTCCTTTTGCCCCCCACCCCCCAACAGGCCCGGGTGTGTGATGTTCCCCTCCCTGTGTCCATGTGTTCTCATTGTTAAACTCCCACTTATAAGTGAGAACATGCAGTGTTTGGTTTTCTGTTCCTCTGTTAGTTTGCTGAGAATAATGGCTTCCAGTTTCATTTATGTCCCTGCAAAGGACATGAACTCATTCTTTCCTATGGCTGCACAGTATTCCATGGTGTATATGTGCCACATTTTCTTTATTCAGTCTATCATTGATGGGCATTTGGGTTGGTTCCAAGTCTTTGCTATTGTAAATAGTGCTGCAATAAACATACCTGTGCCTATCTTTATAGTAGAGTGAATTATAATCCTTTGGGTATATACCCAGTAATGGGATTGCTGGGTCAAATGGTATTTCTGGTTATAGATCCTTGAGGAATCACCACACTGTCTTCCACAATGGTTGAACTAATTTGCACTCCCACCAACAATGTAAAAGCGTTCCTATTTCTCCACAACCTCGCCAGCATCTGTTGTTTCCTGACTTTTTAATAATCGCCATTTTAACTGGCGTGAGATGGTATCTCATTGTGGTTTTCATTTGAATTTCTCTAATGACCAGTGCTTTTGAGCTTTTTTTCATATGTTTTTGGCTGCATAAATGTCTTCTTTTGAGAATTATCTGTTCATACCCTTCAGCCACTTTTTGATGGGGTTGTTTTTTTCTTGTAAATTTGTTTAAGTTCCAAGTTCCTTGTAGATTCTGTATATTAGACTTTTGTCAGATGGGTAACTTGCAAAAATTTTCTCCCATTCTTTCTGTTTACTCTGATGATAGTTTCTTTTGCTGTGCAGAAGCTGTTTAGTTCGATTAGATCCCTTTTATCAATTTTTGCTTTTGTGGCAATGGCTTTTGGTGTTTTAGTCATGAAGTCTTTGTCACAACTTTATTCTTTCTGGAATCCTTCATTCTTTCATGTAGTTCAAAGCCTTTATCTGAAATTATTTTCTTTCAGCCTGAAAAACTTTCTTTAGGATTTCACTTATTTTATGCAGCATGGGTCTTCTGATGATCAATTTTCTCAGGTTTTGTCTGAAAAAGTCTTCATTTTGACTTCACTGTTGAAGAATATTTTCACTAGGTATGGAGTTTAAGATTAGAGTTCTTTTTTTGTTCAATGCTTTAAAAAATGTCATTTTATTGTTTTCAGATTCCATAGTTTCTGTTGAAAAGCCAGACACCAGTTTTACGATTGCTTCTCTGAAGATAATGTATCTATTTTCTCTAGCTCCTTTAAGGTTTTCTTTAACTTTGATGTTTAGCAATTTGGCTATGATGCGTCTAAGTGGGATTTTTCTTTGTATTTCTCCTGTTTTGGCTTCACTGATCTTCTGCAATGTGTGGGTTGAGATGTTTTGTCAAGTTTAGTGTATTTTCAGTCATTATTTCTTCAAATGTTGCTTCTTCCTCATTCCCTCTCTCCTCCCTTTATAGGCTGCCAATTATACACGTTAGGCCTTTGACTATGTATCACATACCTTTTACACTCTGTTCTATTCTTTACATTTTATTTTTCTCTGTGCTTCAGTCTAGATATGTTTCTATTGACCTGTCACTGAATTCACAAATCCTGTTTTCTACTGTGCCCAGACTTTTCAACTATCCATTCAATGGGCCTTTGATTCTGCATATATGCTTTAAGTTCTAAACCAGATTTTTTTATTTTGTTGTCTTCAATTTTGATAATCTTTTCCTCTATTTTAATACATTTTAATAGTTAAAATTCTGCTTCAACTCTAATATCTAAACAACTTGTTATTGAGTCACTTTTATTGCTTTTCTTAGTTTTAAAATAACTAATCCTTTTTAAAAAAGTAATCATACTTTTTTTTATTGAATTCCAGTAATGCACAAAATCTAGAGTCCATGAAAGATGACTCTTTCTTCTCTGTCCACTAAGACTGCAACATATTGTTTAAGGGGATTCCCTACTTTACCCCCAAACAGAAAGGCAGGTAAGTATGAAGCTTACCTAGTGCATCTCTTTTTCCAAGAATCGTATTCCTCAGATTTCTTCCTGCTTTGATTCTTCTCCAGTGTCTTCAAATACTTTTTAAATATTTTGTGCAGTATAGAGAGGAGCATAATTGGAGTTGATTTTTTAGCAGCTGCCAGGATTCTCACATTGGTTTCATGATCCCTATATTAATATTACGGTAGGTAGGGCCAAATGTAAGCCTCTAAAACAATCCTCATTCTCACAGTGAAACCTGAAGTATAATGGTACCCTGTAATCCATTACATGTTATAGATGAACACCATTTTCAAAAATTTAAAGAATGTATAACACTTACAAAAATTAGAGGATTGTTTTGGGTGACTAGTAATTACTATAAAAACTGAATAAACTGATATCCTACTTTTCTGATATAGAAGTGGTTTAACTTTTCTGATAGGGATGATTTATTTTTCGGAATACATCAACAATTTGGTATGGAATTGTTTACCTGATAGTATGGTCTTTTCAAACCCCATCAATAAGGAGGATACAATTCAGTTTGCTTTTATTATGTGGGAAAGACAGAAATATACATTCAGTTGACTCAGGGCTAAGGTAACTCTTCTGATCTCCATCATAATACAGACCACAGGAATGTTAATCATCTTCACATTCTGTAGAACACTGTATTTGAACTCTTTATTGATAACTTTATGCTAATAATGAGCAATCTATCATGTGATGAAAATAATACATTTCATTTAGAAACACACACAAGCAGGTCTAGAGACTGAAAGTCAGTTTCATGAACACATAGATCAGACACCCATACTGCTTCAGTAGGTTGCACCAGTGGTCATGGCTATGGCCTTGTGCAGCATTCCTTATAACCAGGTGAATGAGAAGAAAGCATTCAGGCTTGCTGGGTGATGCTTTGTCTAACTATATCAGTGCAAGCTGACAATGTTATTCTGCCCCTCTAAAGCTTGTTCCAGAAGTGGCCCTAAATAACACTAACTGTTTTTAGTGGACAACTTTAAACGTACATCTTTTTTTGCCAGTGTTTTTGGTAAGAGAATTGATATGAGGTTGGGATGCATACGGACTCCTGAAAAATTGCAAATAGCTTCGCTGTGGTCAGTGGACTGAAAAAAAAATACGGGAACATCATATCTAAGGAGCTTTGGGTAGATGTCTATGCATGAATTTACACAAATGGGCATAAAATATATGGGATATTTGTGTATCATATAAATAAACATCAGAGAAATACCACTGCAAAGAAGGTGCCCAATAGCAGGTATACAGAATTACTCATTCAGTGGACTCTAGCCAGCGTTTGTGTTCTGTCACTCTATTGCTTGTGCAATAGGCTTAGAAAAGGTATATTTATCTTGAATGAAGTCAGTGTATGGTCCCAAGAGCAAAGTCTCCTTCTTAAGTAAGCTGATCCAGCTACCGAAATGGCTGAACACCAGGCATATCAGAAGCACAATCCAAGTGTGAGACTTTGATGTGGCAAAATCCCTTGAGGAGACTAGCTTGGTACTTGGTGTGAAGCTGATATTAGATCCTTTGACTCTGGCAATTATGGATCCTTATTAGACTTGACACTTACTCTAGGCATAGGTTTTTCTTCTCAAAGAGATTTTACAGCAGCATGATCATAGTATTTACAGAATATTTGATAATTGACATGGAATATTGTATAACAAGGGTCCACAACCCCTAGGGAACATCATATGGACAGGTACCTGTCCATGGCCTGTTAGAAACAAGGCTTCACAGAAGGAGGTGAGAAGCGGGCAAATGAGCAAAGCTTCATCTGTATTTACAGCCATCCTCATGGCTTGCATTACCACCTGAGCTCCGCCTCCTGTCAGATCAGCAGTAGCATTAGATTCTCATAGGAGTGCAAACACTGTTGTGAACTATGCATGTGAGGGATCTAGGTTACACACTCCTTATGAGAATCTAATGCCTGCTGATCTATCACTGTCTCCCTTCACCCCCAGATGGGACCATCTAGGTGCAGGAAAACAAGCTCAGGGCTCCCACTGATTCTACACTATAGTAAGTTGTATAATTATTTCATTATATATTATGATGTAATAATAATAGAAATAAAGTGCACAATAAATGTAATGTGCTTGAATCATCCTGAAACCAGCCCCCCCAACTCCATGCCCAATCCATGGAAAAATTGCCTTCCATGAAACTAGTCCCTGGTGCCAAAAGTGTTGAAGACTGCTGTTGTATAACATCATGTCAGACTAATTGGCCAAGTTTAAAGTAAAGAAAAAATAACAATTAATGCATGATCACATAACTCATTTATCTTACCATATGCCACCTTACATGAAATTAGTCTAATAGAATGTTAGGCCAATTAAAAGCTCCTCTAAAGTTCAAGAATAGCATCCCACAGATTTGGGTTTCTGTCTTCTAGAATACAATATATGCAATAAACTAGTAGCCAATATATGATGCTTAGTCTCTAGTGGCTAGAATATATATATAAAATAAACAGTTCTGCTGGTCAAGTTGTGGAAGAAAAATTGATCTTTCTCACCATTACTCCTAGTGAGCCACTTTCAGCATTTGTATTTCTCATCCTCTTTTAGAGTAGAGGCCTTGGTAGCCAATAGAGAGAGACAGAGAGAGAGTGAGTGTGTGTGTTGGGAGTGGGAGGTGCTTCCATAAGGGAATACAACAAATTTTCCTTTAAACTTATAACTGCATTCTGATCACCTTGGGACTATTCATACTGTTTTATTTTTACCTTGCTTTTCCTAAGAGCAAGGGTTGCTGCTTCATAATGGGAGGCAGGATAAAACATCTTTAGGACTCAAGAAGTTCACTGGGGGATTTTCTTGATGCTTTTGTGTCAGCAGCTACAGATTACCAAAGCCAAGGAAACCTGGTGCTGGGATCCCTCAGGGATGAGGGCTGAGTCACCTCAGCATGCAAGTAATACAGCACAGCTAAAGGGCTGGCAAAATTGTACTGAATGTACAATTGGTGAAAACAGGAAAAGGAGGAGTTTACATGGTTTCAGCACTGTTTGTAACAGTAGGGCCTGTAGCATGTTCCACTAATCCTTCCTTACTTAAGCTCATTGTAGAGATTGTGTCTGGCCCTATGTGCAAGAATCAATAAGAAATGTACATAATGTTGAGCAAAAGTGAACCTGAGTCATAAAATGATGGGAGTATAGCAGATGCTTTTTATGTTCCTTATCCTTTTTGGTTGGCCCAACTCTAATTTTCGATGCCATGGTGGTGAATATTTCCACGCCTACTGTGTGCCTTTCTCTGCTTTTGTGCTTCCGGGCCTTCTCAAAAGCCACAGAATTCCAATCATCCTAAGTGAAAACATAATGCAGACATAAGAGTTAATGTTCTCAGAAGTGCTGGGGCACAGAGAATGAGACTCTCAAAGTAAGGTGCTTTGGCATGCTGAGCACTGTTGAACTGAAGGAAATTGGAAGGTCTTAGAAGCTGCCTCAGAAACAAGGACTTTCTAACCTTGTCTTGCTTTTCCTCCCCAAGTGCAGGGAGGTGATCTCTCTGAATGTTCCCTTATCTAATAAAAATTTCTTCTAAAAAAAAAAAAAGAAAGCAATTGTCTTAAGACTCTCTCCCTAGGAATCTCATCAAATAACCAGGAAAGATTAACTACAGCAGAAAAGACTAAAACACATTATGCCCCACATACTTTTCATCTGTTCTGAGAGCAGCTTCAAGAGATTACCTGGGAGACTTTATCTGTGTAGTAAGAAAACTTTGTTCACAGTGAAGTTCTTCCCCGCACCTTCTCACCACCTCCCCTAGAGCTCAGAAAAACTTTATTTCAGGCCATGTCTGTTTAGGCCCATTCATTTTCCCCTAAAAATCATTTGCTACCCCTCACAAGTGCCCACCTCTCCCTTTTCCCTCTTCCCTATTTATTAAGAGGGTATTTTTATTAAGAGGGTATTTAAGCCTCAACCATCTGGCTTTTCTCTGAATCTCACATTTTTGAGACTTCCAGGTTCATGTACATGTTTATAAATTTGTATGACTTTTCTTCTGGTAATTTGTCTATTGCCAGTTTATTTCAGCAGGAGGACTTGATCATTGAACTGTCAGCGTGAAAGTTTAAACTTCCCCTACAAGAATCCACCTTTCATCAGTGGGGTATGGGAGCCAGTGAACAACTCTGGGAGGCTGTTGCTATGTTTCTCAGAAACCCCAAAAGAATCAAGCCCTTATTAACAGCAGCAGTAACCCACAGTGACATACCATTATATTGCTTTTTATTCTTTTTCTGCCTCACTTCCCCTTCTCCCTCACTCTGGGTTCTTGGGATGACTTCCTAAGTAAACTGTCTGCAAATACGTCCTTGTCCCTAACTTCTCTTTTCATGGGAACTTAACCTAAGAAAATACACCATTTGAGAACTGAGCCTAACTGCATTCAAAATCAACAGTTTACAATCTCAGGTATACAGTAACCATTTTACTGTGTTCTACAAACACAGTTATTTTAATCTCAAGCCTTCATCTGCTAGGATTGGGAAAATGGAGTTTGATGGGAAAATTGAACCACAGTCTGTCTTTTTAGAGTGCTTCTGGTATTTCAAATGACTTGAATATGTACTGCTCAGGAATTGACAAATGTGAATTTTTATTCTTCTATTCATTGGTCTGCACAGATTGACGGTGCTCTGCTGGCAAAATTTGTCTATCAATCCTCTCTAATGTTTCCCTGCCAATGTTGGGTTAATGGGATTATCTCTACTGCAACTAGGACACACCAGGGATATAGGAATTTCCTGAAGACTTTCTGTGGTCTAATCTGCCTTATATTACAGGACGCACTTTTCAAGAGCTGTTTGTGAGAAAGGCAAAAGCTCCTTTTTCTTCAATCCATCAGTGTCTTTCCTTATGTTACTTTTCTGCCTGCTTCACTGGCTAAGCAAATCTGTTTTTCGTCTAAAATGGCAAGGTCCTTTTTACTCTATGTTTCTCCCCATTATTTCACTGAGATTCTGAAGGCTTTGTTTCTGAAAGGGTTTATAGGCTTTTAGAAACCAAAGCCAGGGGGCTCTGCACATTTTCTATTTTGTATCCCTCCTCTGAGGCAATAAATAAAAAAAAGAAAAAAAGAGGAATAATGGGAAAAATACATACAAACATAGGTAAAAATCTAAAAGAATGTATATGTGAAACACTCATTCGTGTTTTATTTGTTGTATCTTTATTGGAACCCAATCAATCAGAGAGAAAACAAAAAAGTAATTATTCACTATTTCTACCAAACCTGTCTGTCTGTCACTATTCCAAATACAAGTGTATTCCAGTTAAAAAAAAAAAAAAGTTATGCATGCCCATGCAAAGGCACACAAGTATGTGCAAAACTTTGTGTCTGTGTTGAGGAGGAAATTGAAGCACACCTTTCACATGTAGCCCTTCAGACTCCATCTAGATAATCACAAAGCAACCTATTCATTCAGAGAAATCATCAATTTTGTGTTTATTCCAATATATATTCTGTTACCTTTATTTTTACTTTTCAAACTTCTTTTAGAATGATGTACACAAATTACTTCTTCTTTATTTGATCTTCTATCTAGCACTTATTTTCCTCTCTGCCAAATTTTCTTTGCACCTGACAAAGCTATTTTCATCACGGGATGAATCCTGGGAGATGCCTGAAACATTATAAATTCCAGCTTGTGCAGAATTCCAGGTGGTTCTCTTTTGTGGAACTATAAGATGGGATCTCCAACGATTTTGTCTATTTTTACATTCATCTTTATGTGTTTTTTAGATGGCTGACCTCACCATTTATTTAGCTGACTTGGAGCATTGTGGCATTATCTATATGTGATATTTTTAATAAGCTTTGATGAAAAAATAAACAGTGCAAATCTTATAACATCCGAAGGTAAAAGAAACCCTGAGAGGAAATTTAACTGTGCTATTACTCCTGTTGTACTCCTTTACTGAAGGCCCAATTATGAGTGTAGAAAAGATGAAACAGCACCCAATCAATGTTAACATACAAGTATCTCATTACATATAGGACCTTAAGAATCAGAATCATCATGGCAAGATTATGAGAAAGGGCCAGGTAATTATTACTGAATTCAAAATCTTTTAAAGCATTAACTGTACCTTGCAAAGCATTGATAAAATTAGATGAGAAATCATAGTGATACAACAATTAGCACCACTTCAACATTACTCTGTGTGGTAGGTGTTCAAAGCATATATAGGGTTGTTTGGCTTTGCCTTGTTTGTTGTTTTTCTGAATGAAAGCAGTTTGCTGCACAGAAGAAAAAAATGAATGCTATTTGAATTGCAAATTTCTGCTGCAGCCATTAGTTTCCCCCTAATATTTTTAATATTTTCGAGGGTAAATTAAAATTTGGACTGTTTAAGCATTTCCAGTTGAAATACATTGTTCTTAGTCATCCCCTGGAAACTTAGTCATCCCCTGGAAACACAGTAAACAAGATCTTCATAATCTCTGCTCTAGAGTATGTAGTAACCAAATATGGGGGAGGGAGGGGAGAGTAGAAAATTATTGCTAGATTTTATTACTGAATGCTCTTTTGCCACCATCTACTATTTCTCTCCTTAATATCTGTATACTTAAATACATAATAAATCTGACCACTTGTCATTCTGCTTTTACCATTGGGTTAGGATCTGTGAAGTGGAACAGAACCTAGTGCAGTCTATAAGCCTGGTATTTTCAGGAACAAGTTTTCCAAAAGGTACTTTTTAAAATTTAGTACAAAGAACAAAGTAAGAAGGTAACATAAATATTATCAGTCTAATAAACTACTTACCAAGTTATCCAACTGAGTGATTGGTCACCAGAAAGAGCATTATCTTCTTTTGCCTGAAATAATGAAACAATTAAAATGGGAATTAATTAAAGTCCAATGAATGGTTAATAAAAACAACCTGCATTCACTTACTTTTAGATTATTCATCTGTGTTCTCAACGGCTATATAAAATATCAGTGTTTCTTTAACATTTATAGGAACCTTCCACACATACTGGGAAAAGTAGCAGCTTGAGTGAAGGACATACTGCCTTTTAATTACATGGTAATTTAATAAAGCTTCCAGGTATACACATGGTAAATACATTGTAATTATATATTCCTACTGATAGAAAGTGCTGCCCTGTAATTTCATTTCGTACTGTATGTTGGCTGGACAGCATGGAACATATTGAACGACCTGTCAAAGTAAATGTTCATTTATATGCAGCCAGTTAGGGACATCTATAATACAATATCCAAAGCACAAATGTTTAAGTTTTCCCTACATCCACTTTGGTGGATAAAAGGAGAGAGCTTTCTCTTTGTTTGATCATGGATAGTGGGAGGAAAAGGGCACTGCTATGTTTTGGAAAATGATCAGGACTCTAGAATTACCTCCCAGGCATTCGTGATATTTCCATTTATAATAACAATGATGCTTTTCACTTATAGATTTCTTTTCACCTGGAAATCTCAAAACACTTCACAGATACTTTCTCATTCTTGCAGCTTCACTATCAGGTATAGGGAAACAGGCAGAACATGCCATCTGGACTGTCTTTATAAGACAAGTCACCTGGGGTAGGACACAATAGGCCAGACCCTGATGGAGACAGTGTCTTTTCAACGCTGTTGAATTAACCAGGTGATGTAGACATTTTTTAATGGTTATTTTTGGATCAACACACTGAAAACAGAATAGTAAAGCATCCATCCAAAGTTATGTGAAATTTTATTTGTATAGAGTCACAGTGTTCTTAGGTATAGCCAGGGAGTATTTAAAACTCTTGAGAAACATTTAAGTATTTTTGGAAAACTGCTTGTTTTTGGGAATAAAATATACTAAAAAAAATATATAACCTGATGACAAAGACAACAGCTCACTATTAAAGTCCCTCTCTAAGTAGCTCGGAACAAAAAAGGGAAGTCAAATACTTTTATTGATAGAAAATAAATGAGACTTAGAAATAAGACTTAAGATAGTGGTAATAATTTTAAACACTTGGTGTACTTTCCAACATGAATTATATTAATTTTATAACACCAAGATGTCCTATTCCTATTAGATGGAATAATTACACACTCAGCATTTCAAAGTAATAGATGTGGAAATATTATTACATCCATTTTAAAGAAATTATAGTCCCCAGTTTGCTCCTGGGACCTCATGCAAAAGAAGTCACATTGGAGAACAGGAAATGCATCCCCTATTGCTTTACTGCAGAGATTGCCTCCTCTGCGTGCAAATGAAGCAATACAGACTAATGCCCATTATGAAAACTGTGTGAAAGGCGATCAAGAGCTAGAATGTAAAGAGCCATGAAAGTAATATCAAAGACACCAGGGTCATTTAAAGGGCACACCATTAATTAATTAATTTAAAAATGTGGTTTCTACTGTCATGGTTCATTGGTGATTGGCCCAAATATATTGTATCAAGTAAAGTGCTGGTTGGCTTTCTTATTTTACACCACATTACTGATAGACTTCCTACTGTTTCCACTAAGAATATGCAATTTGTAGGCACTAAGTTAATCAATGAGATAGCATGGTAAACTTATTAAGACTGTCTTCATTGGTAGCCCTAAATATTTCATCCTTATCTACTTATTTGTTCCATTATATCTTCACTTTTAATTATCTCATTTCTAATTCAAATCTTCTTCTCTCAGATTAACACTTTTATTTATGTATGCAGGTTAACCCTTGACAATCTTTTTTTTAAAGCTTCTTAATCCTTTAGTATTTAAAATACATACAAGATCACAGAAAATGGGAAAATGCAGAATCTTTTAATGTGCACAAATAGATTTTTGTTTGGTCTTAGACACCTTCTGCTAAGCACACATCTAACTGAAATAATTGGACTTTCTAATTATATGAATATACATCTAACTGAAATAATTGGACTTTCTAATTATATGAATATTTGTGAGTCATTTTAAACTTGAGATAAAAGCAATTGGATAAAATTTGGAGTAATATGCACCAGACTTCTAGTATTAAATATTGGGTAAATGAGTAATGTGTACCCATCTAGTTTGCATTTTTATTCACCATCTTTGGATACCAATGCATCAATTTGGATAAATTCTGCCTAAAGATTATAAAGATGTGGCAATGCACAGAGATACACTGATGATTTCCCAATGACTTAGAATCTACTGGGGCTTTGAATGAGCTCTAAATATGAGAGAACAGTACATTTCTTATGCTCCAATTCCTTTCCCAGGCTATGAAACTGTCAGTAAAGAGGCCAGTTAGAATAAATGCCAGTAGCCATTATTGATTTTAGAACATGATATAGATGAGATACCAACATTGGTTCTCTCTGTCCAAAGACAGGAATAGGAAAATCTAGGGAACTGAGCAAAACCATATTGGAACATTAAGAAAATAATGTGGGGGAGGGGCCAAGATGGCTGACTAGAAACAGCTGTGGTGGAGGCTCCCACAGAGAAGAATCAAAATGGCAAGTGAATCCCGCACCGGCAACTGAGGTATCAGGTTCTTTCATTAGGACTGACTAGGCAGTTGGCATGACCCGTGGAGAGCAAAGAAATAGCAGGGTGGTGCAACAACCTACCTGAGATCCACAGAGGGAAAGGGGAGCTCCTACTGGCAGCCAAGGGAGGCAGTGAGAGGTTGTGCTACCCTGTCAGGGCAGCTTGGCTTTTCCATAGATCTGTACAACCTGTGGATTAGGAGATCTCCCTTGTGAGTCCACACCACCAAGGCCTTGGGTCCCAAGCACAAAGCTGTGCCGATTCCCGGTAGCTGCTCTGCTGGATGCTCCCTAAGACTACCAAGTCCCCAGGGGGAGGGGTGTCTGCCATCACTATGCTGCCTGCTGCCTAAGATGACTGAGTTCCTGGGGAGAGGGGCAGCAGCCATCACTGCAGCTCCAGTCTGCCATGTTTTTCCTGCTGGTGCCAGGGGGACTGGACGGTTTGGACCCAGGAGGAATTCCCCACGAGCGCAGCACAGCAGCTGTGGGAGATCATGGCCACACTGCCTCCTTAGGCTGGACCCTGACCCATTCCTCCTCACCGGACAGGGCCTCCCTGCAGGGATTTCAGAACTCCAGCCAGGGGTTTAGGGACAAAACTCTGATCTCCATGGGACTGAGCCCCTTTAGGGAAGCGTGGCCATGGTCTCTACAGATCAGCAGACTTCGTCTTTCCCCCTGCTGGATCTGAGGAATCTGGGCAGCCCAAATGAGTGGAATTCCCCCCAGAACAGCACAACCCGTCCACCAAGGGGGAGCCAGAGTGCTTCATTAAGCGAGTCCTGAATCTCGTGCCCCTTAACTGGGTGAGAACCCCCAATGTACCTTACACAGTAGTGTTTCCACTGGCATCAGGTCAGTGCTCTGTGTGGACAGAGATCCCAGAGGAAGGAGCAGGCAGCCATCTGTGCTGTTCTGCAGCCTCCATGCGTGACACCTTCAAGTGCGGGAAGGACCAGGCAAATAGGGCCTGGAATGGAACCCCAGCCAACAGCAGCAGCCTTACAGAAGAGGGGCCTGACTGTTAAAAGAAAAACAAACAAACAGCAACAACAACAGCATCAACACAAAAGCCCCCACAAAAACCCCATTCAAAGGTCAGCAGCCTCAAAGATTGAAGCTAGGCAACCTCATGAAGATAAGAAAGAATCAACAAAAAAATGCTGAGAACCCAAAAAACCAGAGTGTTTCTTCTCCTCCAAATGACTGAAATACCTCTCCAGCAAGGGCACAGAAAAAGACAGAGGCTGAAATGAGCAAATTGACAGAAATGGGCTTCAGAAGATGGGTAATAACAAACTTTGCTGAGCTAAAGTTGCATGTTCTAACCCAATGTGAAGAAGCTAAGAACCATGATAAAACATTACAGGAGCTGTTACCATAATAGCCAGTTTAGAGAGGAAGCGATGTCCTGATGGAGCTGAAAAACACAACACAAGAACATCACAATGCAAACGCATGTATCAATAACTAAATAGACCAAGCAGAGGGAAGAATTTCAGAGCTTGAAGACTATCTCGCTGAAATAAGACAGGCAGACAAGATGATTAGAGAAAAAATAATGAAAAGGAATGAACTAAATCTCCAAGAACTATGGGATTATGTAAGAAGACCAAACCTATGACTGATTGGGGTACCTGAAAGAGACAGGGAGAATGGAATCAAGTTGGAAAACATACCAGGATATCATCCAGGAGAACTTCCCCAACCTAACAAAACAGGCCAACATTCAAATTCAGGAAACACAGAGAACCCCAGTAAAATACTCCATGAGAAGATCAACCCCAAGACACATAATCATCAGATTCTCCAAGGTCGAGATTAAGGAAAATAATGTTAAGGGGAGCAAGAGAGAAAGACCAGGGCACCTACAAAGGGAAGCCCATCAGACTAACAATGGACTTCTCAGCAGAAACCCTTTAAGCCAGAAGAGATTGGGGGCCAATATTCAACATTCTTAAAGAAAATAATTTCCAACCCAGAATTGCATGCCCAGCCAAACTAAGCTTCACAAATGAGGAAGAAATAAAATCCTTTTCAGACAAGCAAATGCCGAGGGAATCGTCACCACCAGGCCTGCCTTGCAAGAGCTCCTGAAAGAAGCACTAAATATGGAAGGGAAAAACCATTATCAGCCACTGCAAAACACACTGAAGTACAAAGACCAATAACACTATGAAGCAACAACATCAACAAGTCTGCAAAATAATCAGCAAGCATCTTGATGACAGGATAAAATTCACACATAACAATATTAATCTTACATGTAAATGGGCAAAATGCCCCAATTAAAAGACACAGAATCACAAGCTGGATAGTCAAGACCCGTTGGTATGCTGTATTCAAGAGACCCATCTCATGCGCAAGACACACATAGGCTTACAATAAAGGGATGAAGGAAAATTTACCAAGCACATGGAAAGCAGAAAAAGAGCAGAGGTTGCAATCCTAGTTTTTGACAAAACACACTTTAAGCCAACAAAGATCAAAAAAGACAAAGAAGGGCATTACTTAATGGTAAAGAGATGAATTCAACAAGAAGAGTACCTATCCTAAATGTATATGCACCCAATACAGAAGCACCCAGATTTATTAAAACAAGTTCTTAGAGACCTACAAAGAGACTTAGACTCTAACAAAATAATAGTGGGAGACTTTAACACTCCACTGTCAATATTAGAAAGATCAACAAGAAAAAAATATTAACAAGAATATTCACCGCTTGAACACAGCTCTGGAGCTCTGGATCAAGTGGACCTGATAGATATCCACAGAACTCTCCACCCAAAAACAACAGAATATACATTCTTCTCAGGACCACATGGCACTTATCTAAAATCAATCACATAATTGGAAGTAAAACACTTCTCAGCAAATGCAAAAGAACTGAAATTGTAACAGTCTGTCAGACCACAGTGCAATCAAATTACAACTCAAGATCAAGGAACTCACTCAAAACCACACAACTACATGGAATTGAACAACCTGCTCCTAAATGATTTCTGTGTAAATAATGAAATTAAGGCAGAAATCAAAAAGTTATTTGAAACCAAAAAGAACAAAGAAACAATGTACCAGAATCTCTGGGATGCAGCTAAAGCAGTGTTAAGAGGGAAATTTATAGCACTAAATATCCACACCAAAAAGCTAGAAAGATCTCAAATTAACATCCTAACATAACAACTAAAAGCACTAGAAATCCCAAAGCAAACAACCTCAAAAGCTAGCAGAAGACAAGAAATAACTAAGATCAGAGTGGAACTGAAGGAGACAGAGACACGAAAAAACTTTCAAAAAATCAGTGAATCCAGGAGGTGTTTTTTTGAAAAGAAATTAATAAATACACTGCTAGCTAGACTAATAAAGAAGAAAAGAGAGAGGAATCAAATAGACACAATAAAAAATGATAAAGGGGATATCACTGCTGACCCCACAGAAATACAAACAACCATCTGAGAATACTATAAATGGCTCTATGCAAATAAACTAGAAAATCTAGAAGAAATGGCTATGCAAATAAACTAGAAAATCTAGAAGAAATGGATAAATTCCTAGACACATACGCCCTCCCAAGACTAAACCAGGAAGAAGTTGAATCCCTGAATAGACCAATAACAAGTTCTGAAATTGAGGCAGTAATAAATAGCCTACCAACCATAAAAAGACCAGGACCAGACATTTACAGCTGAATTCTACCAGAGGTACAAAGAGGAGCTGGTACCATTTCTTCTGAAACTATTACAAACAATTGAAAAGGAAGGACTTCCCCCTAACTCATGTTATGAGGCCAGCATCATCCTGATACCAAAACCTGGCAGAGATACTACAAAAAAAGAAAACTTCAGGCCAATATCCCTGATGGACATCTATGCAAAAATCCACAGTAAAATACTGGCAAACCAAATACAGCAGCACAACAAAAAGCTTATCCAGCACCATCAAGTTGGCTTTATCCCCAGGATGCAAGCCTGGTTCAACATATGCAAATGAATAAACGTAATTCATCACATAAACAGAACTGAAGACAAAAACCACATGATTACCTCAATAGATCCAGAAAAGGTTTTCATAAAATTCAACATCCCTCTATGTTAAAAACTCTCAATAAACTAGGTATTGACGAAACATATCTCAAAATATTAACAGCCATTTATGACAAACCTGCAACAGATATACTGAATGGGCAAAAGATGGAAGCATTCCCCTTGAAAACTGGCACAAGATAAGGATGCCATGTCTCACCACTCTTATTCAACATAGTGTTGGAAGTTCTGGCCAGGGCAATTCGGCAAAAGAAAGAAATAAAGAGTATTCAAATAAGAAGAGAGGAAGTCAAACTGTCTGTTTGCAGACTACATGATCCTATATCTAGAAAACCCCATTGTCTCAGCCCAAAAGCTCCTTAATCTGATAAGGAAATTCAGCAAAGTCCCATGATACAAAATCAATGTGCAAAAGTCACAAGCATTCCTATACACCAACAATGGACAAGCAGAGAGGCAAATCATGAATGAACTCTCATTCACAATTGCTACAAAGAGAATAAAATACCTAGGAATATAGCTAACAAAGGAAGTGAAGGACCTCTTCAAGGAGAACTACAAACCACTGCTCAAGGAAATCAGAGAGAACACAAACAAATGGAAAAATATCCCATGCTCATGGATAGGAAGAATCAATATTTTGAAAATGGCCATATGGCCCAAAGTAATTTATAGATTCAGTGCTATTCCCATCAAACTACCATTGACATTCTTCATAGAATTAGGAAAAAAACTACTTTAAAATTCACATGGGACCAAAAAGAGCCCATAGAGCCAACACAATCCTAAGCCAAAAGAACAAAGTTAGAGGCATCTCGCTACCCAATGTCTATACTACAAGTCTGCAGTAACCAAAACAGCATGGTACTGGTACAAACACAGACACAGAGACCAATGGAACAGTAGAGAGATCTCAGAAATAAGACTGCACATCTACAGCCATCTGATCTTTGACAAACCTGATAAAAGCAAGCAATGAGGAAAGGATTCCCTATTTAATAAATGGTGCTGGGTAAACAGGCTAGCCATATGCAGAAAATTGAAACTGGATCCCTTCCTTACACCTTGTACAAAAATTAACTCAACATGGATTAAAGACTTAAATGTAAAACCCAAACTATAAAAACCCTAGAAGAAAATCTAGGCAATCCTATTCAAGACATAGGCACAGGCAAAGATTTCATGATGAAAACACCCAAAGCAATTGCAACAAAAGCAAAATTTGACAAATGGGATCTGATTAAACAAAAGAGCTTCTGCACAGCAAAAGAAACCATTGTCAGAGTGAACAGACATCCTGCAGAATGGGAGAAAATTTTTGCAATCTATCCATCTGACAAAAGTCTAATATCCAGAATCTACAAGGAACTTAAACAAATTTACAAGAAACAACCAACCAAATCAAAAAATGGCCAAAGAACATGAACAGACAGTTCTCAAAAGAAGACATTTAGTGGCTAACAAACATGAGAAAAAGGCTCAACATCACTGATCATTAAAGAAATGCAAATCGAAACCACAATGAGATGACATCTGATGCCATTCAGAATGATGATTATTAAAAAGTCAAGAAACAACAGATGCTGGTGAGGCTGTGGAGAAATAGGAATGCTTTTACACTGTCGGTGGTAATGTAAATTAGTTCAACCATTGTGGAAGACTGGCAATTCCTTAAAGAGCTAGAACCAGAAGTACCATTTGACCCAGCAATCCCATTACTAGGTATAAACCCAAAGGAATGTAAATCATTCTATTATAAAGATACACGCACATGTTATGTTCATTGCAACACTTTTACAATAGTAAAGACATAGAATCAACCCAAATGTCCATTGATGATAGACTGGATTAAAACAAATGTGGTACATAGATACCATGGAATACTATGCAGCCATAAAAAGGAACAAGATCATGTCCTTTGCAGGGATATGGATGCAGCTGGAAGCCATTATCCTCAGCAAACTAACACAGGACCAGAAAACCAAACACCGCATGTTTTCACTCATAAGTGGGGGCTGAACAATGAGAACACATGGACACGGGGAGGGGAACAATACACACTGGGGCCTGTCGGTGGGGCAGGGAGAGGCAGAACATCAGGATAAATAGCTAATGCAGCTGGGCTTAATACCTAGGTGATGGGTTGATAGGTGCAGCAAACCACCATGGCACAGATTTACCTATGTAACAAACTTGCATGTCTTGCACATGTATCCTGGACCTTAAAATAAAATAAATAAAATTTAAAAAGAGAGAAGAATGTGGATACATAAAGGGTCTGAGAAATGAGGAGCCATGGAAAAATAACATGAAGTGTCAAAGAGATCAAATAGTGTTCCTCTACTTTTCAGATTTGTGTGAGGACTAGAGGGGGCATAATAATTAGTATGAGTCACATGAAAAATATAAAAATGAAATATTCTAAAAATAAAATATGGGTGGTGCATTAGTCCATTCTCATACTGCTATAAAGAACTACTTGAGACTGGGTAATTTATGAAGAAAAGAACTTTACTTACAGTTCCACAGGCTGTACAGGAAGCCTGGTTGTGAGGCCTTAGGAAACGTACAATCATGGCAGAAGGTGAAGGGGAATTATGCACGTTTTGCCACAGTAGAGCAGGAGAGAGAAAGGAAACTGGGAGGTGCCACACTTTTAAACAACCAGATCTCCTGGGGACTCATTCACTCTCAGAAGAACAGCAAGGGGGAAATTCGCCCCCATGATCCAGTCACCTCCCGCCAAGACTTTCCTCCAATTTGATATGAGATTTGGGTGAACACACAAATCCAAACCGTATCAGGTGGGTAGTAGGGAGTATTTGGGACAACAGCCTGGGCTGCACAAGAAGGATCCAGGCCCGGGTGCAGTGGCTCACGCCTGTAATCCCAAGCACTTTGGGAAACCGAAGTGGGAGGATCAGTGGAGCTCAGTTGTTTGAGAACATCCTGGGCAACATAGCAGGACCTCATGTCTACTGAAAATAAAATACCTAGCCCGGAATAGTCATTCCTGCCTGTGGTCCCAGCTACTTGGGAGGCTGAGGTGGGTGGATCTCTTGAGCCTAGTAGGTGGAGGCTGCAGTGGGTGGTGACAGTCAGGCTGCACTCCAGCCTGGGTGACAGAGGAGACTCTGTCTCAAAGAAAAAAGGATCCACCTTTACATAATCAGTTAGGATTGACTTTGAGTCTATCTCTGCAATTTTTTCTTTCTCTACATCCTGAGGTAATCCTTCCCATCATAATCCCACATTTCAGAGGGCTTCCTGATCAGCCCTGTTTAGCCTGGACTCACCTAAGTGGGAATAAAGCAAGTCATCAGAGAACAACCCAACAAGCCACCAAAAACCTGCGGTTCCATCCAGGAATGACAATAGGTTCCACCAGCATTCTATACAAGTATGGGATTCCCGGCCACCTGTGCTGTCGCTGCTTCTGTACTTTTTGTTGCTTATGTGTTTAAAGGTCCAGCCTAGTGTCTCCCACCTCACTGATGGAGGCAGACCTGAGGCTTCCAACATGAGAGGCAAAGACTACCACATTGACACTCTGTAAATGACAGCAACTTTCTTTCGAGACTTCTTGATTGTCAGCTGCACAAAGGGCATTCATAGCGTGGTAAAATACAACATCATCTGACCTTCCAGAGAGGCACCATCATTACGGACAGTATTTTGTCACTGCCAGTCATGTCCAAATGGCCAGCATTGTCTGCACTGCCCAACACAGCGGCTGGATTGCTGGGAAGTCAATTGTGTGATATGTCAGGACAAGCAGTACTTATACATCTCTCAATTCATGCCAGAATATTGACATTTCTTTAAAGTTTAAAAATTTATAAAGCAATTCCAAGTGTGTTCTTCTTTACAGTCATAAAATCCCTAACAGATAGATAGGGTGGGAACAATTGTTATGCTTCAAGATCCAAGTTTTTAATCATTACACAGAGTATGTGGAAACAGATCTGATCCTGCAGAATGGATTCTTCTACTCTCCAGTTAGGCTGCATGTATCACGAAAACGATAATTATCCTTTTTCTTTTAATTTTACCTCTATATCATCCCATCAAACAGCTGTCCAAATAATAATTCTGGCTGATATTCAGTCTTGCATAAATTATATTTCTGCTAGTTTTATCTTCATGCATTTTTTTTCAAAATAAGTCATTATTTACCTGGAAAGCCCTGTCATCCCAGTCCTAAATCGCATTTGCAAGCTCACCTTCTACGTTATTCCTAATACCTATTCCTAATACCCCCTCAGTTCCACTCAGAATCTTAATTTGCCTCCTTCAATACCATGTTGGTTGGAACTCATATCACCTACCCCTGTCTACCATCTACAAGTGCTATTTATGTAACCTTCTCCATCCTTCACGAGATCATGAACATCCAGAAGCCAGGGAATTTAATGTTTGAGTCCTAGAGTCTAGCCAATAGCTGATAC
This sequence comes from Homo sapiens, assembly GCF_000001405.40. Classification (NCBI taxonomy): domain Eukaryota; kingdom Metazoa; phylum Chordata; class Mammalia; order Primates; family Hominidae; genus Homo; species Homo sapiens. Next base: position 106,122,985 of record NC_000010.11, read on the forward strand.
TTAGTAGATGCTCAATAAATTTTCGATGAATCAAATTCACGCCACTTTGTCATTGTTTTGAAAAAGAATCATAAACCAAAGAATTATTTACTAGATCATGATCCCCTTGAGATCAAAAAACCACTTTTCTGTTCTTTTCTTTTTTGTTGTTTGTTTTTTGATACAGAATCTCCATCTGTAGCACAGGTTGGAGTGCAGTGGCATGATCTCGGCGCACTGCAACCTCCACCTCCACCTCCTGGGTTCAAGTGATTCTCCTGCCTCAGACTCCCAAGTAGCTGGGATTACAGGCACACACCACCACGCCCAGCCAATTTTTGCACTTTACTGTAGTAGAGATGGGGTTTTGCCATATCGGCCAGTCTGGTCTCAGACTCCTGATCTCAAATGATCTGCCCGCCTCAGGCTCCCAAACTGCTGGGACTACAGCCTATAGATAGGTCTCATTAAATTTATTAATTATATAACTGCAGATGCACTGCAAACTTTTCATGATGTTTAAATTCCTATATAACCAGGTGAGTGTATCTGTGTATCAGCTCATTTTAAAAATAATATCGATGTTATATACTAAATAAAAGGGACAGGATTGAGGTGTTCTCACCCGGGAAGGACTGTGTCAGTGCAGAAAAATACCACCGTTTTTAAAAATGCCCTTTCTCATTGTCTGCCTGGCAGTGCACAGAAAGGACATCATTGATAAAAACTACCTTGATGGCTCAGCCTTCAAAATAAATTGCACTGCTCATTGCATCTATTGTTAGTCAACAATGCCTACCCCACACTTATTGGAAAACTTGTAATTATTTGAGCAGTAACAAGTTTAGGTAATACCAGGGGAGTCATAAATAGTATTTAGAGGTTTCTATAAAAGCTTTTTAATTTGTTACTCCACAGCGCATTTACCTTGTATACTATATGTCACAGAAAATACACTTCTAAGATACAGGGACTGGAGGCAAAACGTTATGCATATCATGGTGTATGTTATAAAAATGTACCTTTTCATCCTCACTAAGGCTGCTATAGAAAGCAAGAATCTATGGACGTTAAGGCCATAGTACACAATTCAGAAATATGTGCAGCTCTTCTGGGACTGTGGGTGGCCTACATGTGTTTTAGACAGTATGCAAGAGGTTTTGTACTAGACTTCAGTGACTAATTGAAACAATTCCATAGGCTCTGGTGAACATGAAAATCTGCCGTACTCTAACTGGAAAAAAAAAATCTACTGCTTTCTCTTTCCTTCTTCAAATCCTAATGACAGAATAATTAGTTTTGTGTTCTTAAGATCATGTTTTCCTTAGGGGACCACTCATGTTCTAACTTCCATAGTGGGAAAATAGAAACATAACAAAACAAAAATCTATTTAATATATTTTTGTAAATCATTAGAACTTTTTGTTAATAATAGCTGTATGGATTGCTGGATGTTTTTATTATACCAACCTGTGGGGTAAAAAGATTGTGAATCTTAAAGCCAAAGAGCTTTTTTGTCAATGTGTAAGGAGGATTGTTTTCAAACCCTCCAATTTACAGAGTCTAAAAAATCCCACACTCTTTCTTTAAATCCATCATTCAACCTATAACAGTCTTTCAATTGTTTGACCTTAACTCACTTGCCTTATAATCTAAGCTCCATGTTCTTTTCACTAGTATCTAATTATGCCAGTGTTTCCTTTATTCCATCCATTGTCTCATATATCATTATTTTTAGGTTAAAATCTAAGCAGTTCCTGAAGATTGGACTCAATTCCGTGGCACGTATAAAGTTTTTAGAGTCTACTGAAAAGGTAGTTTGACCCTTTGTGTCTAAAACTACATGCTTGTTAGTATATGCTTACTACTTGGATCCAAATTTTGCATATGTTTTAACATTGCTAACAACAGCTTGATTTACAAATGTTTCTTTTCCAATCTAAAATGATGGCAAATCTGATGCTTTGGTGAAAGATACTTAGAATATAGTGACAATTATATACAAGGATGTAATTAGAAGAGTAATTGGTAAATTCTTAAAAGTTGCAATTGTACCTCCTACTTCAGCTATATTGGATTTAAAGCATATTTATTTACATTCATCAAGCTTTTAAGATTTCAGACATGGCTTAAGAGTTCTCAGAAAGTTTGGAATGAGATTTCTACAGCCCTAACAGGAGATTTACTGAAAAATTACCTAATGTATGACTCAATTTGTTCCAAAAAGATGATAGCAAACAGAGCCATTTAAGTATATATTTTTTTCCTTTTAGTGCAGCTCTAAAAATGAGGGTTCAGATATTGGAATTCTGTTTACTATTCCCCCACATCATGTAAATAGCATATTATATATTTGAATTAGCATTCTTTTATTTTCAGTTAAAACTAAACATTACAAGGTTACATATATTCTATTTCCATGTGTGGGTGTGTGTGTTTACATGAACTGGATGCCCTCAGTGAGTGAGGTCCCTAGAACCATGGGTCTAGTGAATTTTGCACTAAAGATTTGTTTTTTCTAATAAATATTCCCTTAGTAAATATTATTCAATATTTGAAGACAGCGATAGGCAACATAAGGCCTCCAAACCAAATTTGACCATCCACCTGCTTCAGTACATAAAGTTTTATTGGGTTCACGCCTGTAATCCCCGCACTTTGGGAGGCCGAGGTGGGCGGATCACCTGAAGTCAAGGGTTCGAGACCAGCCTGGCCAACATAGTGAAACCCCGTCTCTACTAAAATACAAAAAACTTAGCTGGCATGGTAGTGGGTGCCTGTAATCCCAGCTACTTGGGAGGCAGAGGCAGGGAGAATTGTTTGAACCCGGGAAGCAGAGGTTGCAGTGATCCAAGATCGTGCCACTGCACTCCAGCCTGGGTGACAGAGCGAGACTCCATCTCAAAAAAAAAAGAAAAAAAAAAAAAGAAGTTTTTATTGGAACACAGCCATGTTTATTTGCTTGCACACTATGGAATGTTTTATCCTATAATGGCAAAGTTACATAGCTGCAACAAAAACTGTATGGCCCACACAGCATAAAATATTTACTATCTGACTTCATCTAGAAAGTTTGCCAACCCCTGGTTTAAGTAATTTCATCTAAAGTAGGAGCACCTGTCTCCAAAAGTACCATTATTTTTGTCAAATATTTATAAATACCACCAAAGTCTTCAGATGGTTGGTGCTGGATAATGGAGTACTTTCTGCTCCTCTTCTGATCATCTTCTCATACTTCCCAGTGCAGAGTGAAAGGGAAGAAGACGGGAATTCTGAGAAAGAAGTAGGATAAAGAGTAGAGGATCAGTCAGTCTTTCCTTGGCTGCCTTACAATCAGACAATTTTTTTCTTTCATTTTTTGCCACTGTAGCTTTTCAAACATATACATTTCCACAATGGTCTTTAGACTAATTGCAAGAGGTAGCTTTCCTCACAATTATTTTAATAAAAGTGTATGGGACTGCTGTGTTTTACACTGGCATTTGCAATTTACCCCTGACCCTCAAAAGGTATAACAGCATCTGTTTAAGAATCATGTGATACTTGTGAAACCACATTCCTTTCTTCCCCTTCTGGACTTGTTAATTTCCAAGAAGACCGACACTGTCTTCACTTGAATTTATTCTTGTTTCAAAGGTATATGATTCCATGTATACAAAAAGTCTTTCTTTTTAGGAATTCAATTATATAAAATGCCCACTTTTCAACCCTATCTTTTTTCCAAGTTGAAAATTGTGTTTGAAGTGAAACATTTTAACATAGAGACTAGCTCGCTCACTTCCACTCATGAAGTTTGATGATATAAGATAAACAAAGATAGGTAACATTCTATGCATCACTGTTTTATTTTCTTACATCAGAGTGAATTAATTTCTACATTTAAAAGAATGAAAGAATGAAAGGCCTTGTAATAAAGATGTTTTTCCTCTGATTCCATGTGCAAACTGATTCAGTCATGTTCCCTTTGACCTCCGCCTCCTATGAGGGTTGTCAATGAGCTTGATGCTACATCTGTGGAGTCAGCTGCTCATAATAAAAATTACAGCCATTAATGCAATGGTTTTAAAATGAAAATAGTTCACAGAAGAGGAACATTTTAGTAAAAATATCCTAAGTCTGGAAATGTGTCCTTTTATTTCTTTCAACAATTATACATTAGACACACTTTTAGAATATAATTAGAATTTCATTGTATTATGTTTAATCGTCTCATCGTTGAACATGCAACATAAAAATATAGTAAAAGTTACAAATCCGGAAGGCTGACTGTTAGGATAATCAAGAAAATGAGACAAAAACTAAAGAGATTAAAGAGATTGGGCCAGATAGATCATTACATTAAGAGCCTCCCACTATTACCGTCCTAAACAAACCGTATATTTTGGTTAAAATTAATTGATTCATATTCTCTGAGATTTGGTTCTTCTTTGAACATTTTGTTCCTATCTTGTTTCATTCGAAAGGATTTTAGCATCATGTCTGTCCTAATAAACAAAACTGGATGCAATATCTTTCTTTTCTGAAACCCTATAGTTGTCCATTTCTTTCACATGAAAATTTATATATACATATATATCAAACTTAATATCCACCTAAAATATCTATGTCTATCCCAGCTTGTTGGGCTTGCATGCTAGAGACCATCACTGTCATAATACCTTACGCACACGCACCACATCCCCACTATCTGGGGTTCATTCCTTTCCTTTGATTTTTGTCCTTGATTCTTTACTCATTAATCCTCACTAATAAAAATAAGAATCTCCTCTTCAGCATGCAGTGTCTAGGCCATAATGCAGTTTGAATGAAGCAATGCCAGAACCAGCAGAACCATTAAATTCATTCATATATCTGCTCTCTGACAGCATTTCTCCTAAGCACATCCAAGACTCTCCATCACGACTTGCAGCCTGATGCCCTGCTCCCTCCCCAGGGAGGTGGAGTTCAAGTCCAGCAGGCATTGGGAGGGCAGGCATCTGTAATTCCAGGTCATCTTTCAATCCTCAGTGCAGCAGAGGAATTGCTCTCAGGAATTAGTACAGCCCCAATGGTCCTTAATGCTCATAGCTACTTGGACATATGGAAAGCAGATGCAGTAGAGGCGTGGGTTCCAGAAAAATATAGATTTTAGACTTGCAAATAGGCATCTAGAACATTTTTTTGAGACATGGCCTTACTCTGTCGCCCAGGCTGAAGTGTAGTGGCATGATCTTGCCTCATTGAAGCCTTGACCTCCTGGGCCCAAGTGATCCTCCTGCCTCAGCTTCCAGAATAGCTTGAACTACAGGCACACATCACCCAGCTAATTTTCATATATATATTTTTTTTTTGTAGAGATAGATAGGGTCTTGTTATGTTGTCCAGGCTGATCTCAAACTCCTGGCCTCAAGTGATCCTCCTGCCTCAGCTTCCAGAATAGCTTGAACTACAGGCACACATCACCCAGCTAATTTTCATATATTTTTTTTTTTTTGTAGAGATAGATAGGGTCTTGTTATGTTGTCCAGGCTGATCTCAAACTCCTGGCCTCAAGTGATCCTCCTGCCTTAGCCTCCCAAAGTGTTGGGTTTATAGGTGTGAGCCACAACACCCAGCCAAGAACTTTCACTACCCTGAAGAAAACTGTCAGGTTTCTAGAAATTGAAATTTCATGTGCCACAGTCATAGGCCTGGCAATGGTTTGAATGCACAGTAGGTCCTTAGCAACAAAGAGTTAAAGTAGTGACTGGAAACAAAAACTCAGAATGACTGTTCAGGGCACCTAAGTCAGGATTCAGCAAGAATGAATAAACATTCATGGAAAATACATTCACTCTTTCGTTTCCAAATATATATTGAATATATACTATGTCCCTGATATTCTTCTTGGGCAGCTGGCAAAGCAATGAACAAAATGAAAAGGGTCTTCATCCACAGACAGCTTACATTCTAATGGAAAAGACAACTACAATAATTAATTGAAAAAAAATACATCAGATAATTTTAGATACTGATGAATGCAAGGAAGATAATGAAGCTATGGGCTGGAGGAGTGACTGGGGAGGGGCTACATAGGTAAGGTGTTCAGAAAAGGCTTGGCCCATTAGGGAGTGATATTTGAAATGAAACCTGTCTAATGAGGAGCCAGAGATTTGAAGAGCCAGAGGAAAGGGCATCTATACTAAGCACTAAGGAGAGAATGAGCTGGCGTCATGAAAGATGTACACTACCGAAGCTGCATGAGGCCAGGCCTTGGATGAGGGCCGGTGCATGTTGTCTTCTCAACGGTGAGGATTTAGGAATTTATTCTAAGAGTTGTAGGAATCCAGTGACAAGTTGTCAAAGGGGAATGACACAACCAGATTTTCATTTTCAAAATATCCCTCTGTTACTGCAGTGTATCCTGATTTGGGAAAGTTAAGAGAGGAAAATTGATGACCAGTTAAAAGGCCACTACTGTAAATCAGGTGAGAACTGATAGTGATATGTAGAAGTGACAGTGGAGGTGAAGAAATGTGAACAAATTAAAGGCATATTTGAGGGACAGAACTGATCAGTTTCTCTGAGAAAGTGAAAAATAAAGGGCAGAAAGTAGTTAAGTATAATTGTCTATGTTTTGGAGTAAATAAAGAGGGCAGACTGTAGCTCCATTTATGTAGACAGGAGAGACTGGAGTAAGATGTTTCTGTGGGAAATTGGGGGACATATCAAATTTGAGATTTTTAGTGTGTATCTTGCTTAGTTCTTCAATCTTCATTTTGATGTCTAAATCCAAGCTTAAGGGAGAGTTCATGACTTTAGATTCTAATCTGAGAGTCATCAGAGTATTTCCGCTCTGGAACTGAATGAGGTACTTAAAGACAGACTATATATTATGTCTATATTAAAATATATATAAATGAGGTACTTAAAGACATACATATATATGTCTATATATAAATATATATAAATGAGGCATTTAAAGACATATGTCTATATATAAATATATATATATAAATGAGGTACTTAAAGACATATATATGTCTATATATAAATATATATATAAATGAAGTACTTAATGACATCTATACATCTATATATAAATATATATAAATGAGGTGCTTGAAGACATATATGTATACATATATATGTAAAGACATATATGTGTGTATATATAAAGTTGAGTCTTAAAGACATCTATATACATAAAGATATATGTGTGCATGTGTGTGTGTATATATTTATATATATGTCTTTATATAAGAAGATTCAACTTCTCAGTACTCAAAGAACAAGTTGAGAAGGAGCAGCTGTGAAAAGACACTGAGAAGCAAGAGATACCTAAGAACTAAGTGAGCATGATCTCCTACAATCTAAGTTTTAGAAGAGAGAGAGAGCAAGAGAGAGAAGGAGAGTGAGTCAAATGCTACAGAAAACTGTTTAAAACGCTGCTGCTGAGACTTAAAGCAAGATAAATACAGAAAGAAATGACGATTTAATTTGACCATTGAAAGGAGCAGTTTAGATGGGAGTTGGGACAGAATGGAGCAAATTAAAGAGTGGATGGAAAATAAAGAAGATGAATCAAAAGTAGTATAGACTTGTTAGAAGATGTCAACTCTTTTTAGATCATTTTCACAGAGTCAAAAAAATTAATTTACCCCCTCCTCAGGCAAAAAGAACAAAAAAGGCAAGCAAGCTCAGGAAAAGACAAACCATAAATGTTAGAGCTGATGTTGGCATCTAGGTGGTGTCTGGGACCACTAAACCCTTCTTGATTGGGGGCTAAAGGATAAACAGCATGTTAGAGGAGGAGACTTAATATGATAATATGTGAATTTTTCTTGTAAAAATGCAACACCTTATTGATAATCCAGAGAGGCCCTTGCCTTTGCCACTTATGGGAAGCTACTTGAGCTGTATACTGTCAGTGACAGACACAAGATAAAGCCTTTAACATTACATTCAAGAGAAAAATCATGGAGGGTGAAATTACATAATCCTTAACAAAAATGTCTTTGTCCAAACGAACAACATAAGAGGCATAAGAGGGTGTAGCAGATTTCAAAATCACCTGCTCAGTTGTTTTATGCATTATTTTGTTGAAGCAACAGTGTAAGACCCAAATTGAGAAAGTCTCTACAATCAGACTTTTGGTTTTATAGACGCAATACAGTTTACCACTGCCTTATCTTTATAATGCAAAAACCTCTTTGTAGACTACAGCCACAAACATTATGGGTGTGAGAGTGAAATAATGGCAATTCAAGAAGAAGATACAAACTGACAAATTTAGGTACTGCAAAAAAGTAGGGAAGAATCAAAGGAATTATAGACAATGACTGTAATGTGCAGTAATACAATTTACTATACTGGATTCTGCCAAGGGAGATTCGTGTGTGAAACCAGCAAATTGCCTGCAAAAGACTATAACTTGAGTTGAGCTTTTAAGTAGATTATGACTAAATCTGAATTCTAGAGAGAAGAATAAATTTACTTTAAAAAGTACCTGGATCACAAAAAATATGTGAGAAATAAACAGAATTTATGAACTTGTTTAGTATGGAAGGCCATTTTTCATATAATAAGTGCAATAAAAAGACTAATTTTCCAAAATATTCCTTAGGAATTTATTATTTTCTGGGTCTTTTAAGGAGGGTAAATCTGCTTTGTGTCTGTTAAAGAATTATGAATTAGTGTATACATTATCTTCTCACGAGTCATCAGTCTGTTCCACAAGTAGAATCTTTGATTTGGTGTTATGGATTGAGAAGCTGATTGGAACCACATAGAACACTGAAGAATCGATTGGTGAGGCTGCCTCTGTGGTCAACAGAGAGGACAGGGGTGCTGTTTCTCTGCTGATTGGAGCACACGTTTTTAAATACTTCTTTATGCCTTTATTGATCATGAATATGATATCTGGTGATAAAGATTATGATAATGGTATTGAACTGCTCTCCTTTCAGCAAGGAAAAGATTAATTCCAGATTGATTTAAAAATAATATATTCTTGCAGGAAAGCTTATCTTTGACTTAAAACACACTAAAATTTACTGTATTGCTACATTTTTTTTCCCAGATAAGCCTTTTGACGGAACTTTCTATAGAGAAATCAACAAGTTCATTTGGAGAAACTTTCTTAACATAGTCACAATAATACTGGTAGGTGTCATGTCAATAGGTAACAATTACTCATCATTTACTCTATTCGTCTATGCATGTGCATAAACTTACTTAGTCTTTACAGATACCATCTGAAATGTGTGCCTTTTTTAGCTTTAATTTACACTTGAGTACACTGAGGTTTAAGTGGATTCAGCAATGAACCCAAATACATACAAATAATATAGAGCAGAGCTTACAATTTGGGATACTTTTTTACTTGAGAGCTTATACTTTTAAACTCATTTGTATACTGTGTAGCCATAACTGGACATTCAGGTTTTGGATTAAGATTGTGTGTGTTTGAATCCAAATTTAACCTTTTACTACTTCTGTGACTTTGAACAAAGTAACTAATCTTCTGGTCATGTAAGTCTTCTTATTGGTAGAGGATAATAAAAAGGAATAACATTCCATTAATCTCATAACTTTGGAGATGATTACATGAAATATATGTAAAATAAGTAATATATAAAAATATATGTAAAATATTAAATAATGTATGTAAAATATTAAAGGAAATAATATATGTAAAATATTTCATGGTACTTTAGGAAATGTCTGATGCACAATAGGTTTTAATCACAACACTAGTGCTAACAAAAATACTACCACATAATTTGGAAACATGCCTCAATCATCAAAAAATGAGGGTAAATCAGCAGAGACAATCATAAAAAGACATTTACAGATTTGGGAGTCAGTCAATAACATGAATTATGAAGCTCTCATTGGAACTATTTTGTATGGATCTACTCACTATTCTGCTAAAATAATTTTTAAAGTACAGAAGAGTTTCCCAAATTCAATGTTGTCACCATAGGCCTTTCTAGCTCGTAAGTGATTTCAGCCAAAACCTTTCTACAAGGATTACACTTGTCAGATGCAAAACATGTAGAGTAACGATGGCTTATTCTCTGAATACATTTTGAAGTGGACAAACATTGAAATTCTATGAAAGTAAAGTAAGTCTCCATTCAGAACTCAGCCTTAATCCAAATTAGTCAATTTGTTTGACCATGAAACCGTATAAAATTCCAACCCATTCTTTCTCTACAACCACAGTCTGACTAATTCTTAAAAATTTCCACTGTCAACAAGCATTAAATGAGTGGAGAAAAATTCAGGTTCTCTTTTGTCCTCTCATTCCCATCAAAAGTTTGAAGGTAACTGTCATCTGTCAAATTGATTTTGACTCATATGTATTCAGCGGTAACAAGAGAGGATGAATTCTCCACAGATACTTTATCAACTCACTATCAACTTTGGAAAGCAGAGGAGGATTAGACTTGGGGGTCAATTTCACAGGCTAGATTTCCTTATCTAAAAAGAGATGATTAAAAAAGTATATTCCTAAAGGGTCACACTAGACAAAGTACTAAACTCTCTATAGAAGTTCCTAATAGAAATAGATTAATCATGTATTTATCTAGTGTTGATATAGTATCTATTATGCTAATCAATTGCAGTGAGTGAATTTTGAAGGTAAAGAGAGAGATAAGTTCCCACACAAAATACGAAATATAACAAAATACAATTGCCCACATTGAGAAATACTCGCACAAAGAAATTTTTAAAGGGAAACCATTAAAATGTACAAAGTAGTTTTATGGACAACAAGTTGAAAGTCTGAATATTATAGGTCCCTCTTGAAGTTTCACAATGGTTATTGACAAATAAAATGTTCTTGATAGGTCCAAAATTAAAATAATCTACTTAAATTTTTTTTTAAATACAGCCATTTCAAAATTGAGTTACCATGGAATCATTTTTTTTTCTCTCCACATGACCTAGATTAACATTCTGTGAAATGCAAATTTTATAAAATGTGTTTTAGGAAACGGGGTTGGTCAACAAAGACATTAAGGCAAAAAGGGAGATACACAAATAACACCTCTGTTGCATGCATTTATTGCCATAAGAAAGTGTGAAAAGGCACTCAATGTGCCATTGAAGAAGGATTGCAATTTTGATGGGAGAAAGTGACAGGGCTGAGAGAAAGGATTTTCTTTCCAGATGAAGAGAACAGTGCAAGTTAGGAAGAGTTAGGAGTGACAGAAATAAGCATAGAGCATAATACGAAAACTACCAATCTTCCATTTTGTTTTGCATGCAGAATACTCGTTCATGACTACTGAATGGTTGGGCTAGAAAGGTAGGTTGGCAGGGGAGTAGATATAAAATGAAATAGACCTTGAATGCTAACCAAAAGAGTTATAGCTAAATTATAAAATAAAACATTAATAGCAAAAATAAGTATTATTATACTTATAAAAATAAAATCTGTTCAAAGAAGTTTTTAAAAATAAAACATAAGGAAGAAAATCACTTATAAATTAATCACTGAAAGATTATTTAAAACAATGTATTGTTATTTTCTCTTTCAAAAGTTATAAAATATAGGCTGGGCACGGTGACTCATGCCTGTACTCCCAGCACTTTGGGAGTCTGAGGCGGAAGAATCGCTTGAACCTGGAAGGCAGAGGTTGCAGTGAGCAGAGATCATGCCACTGCATTCCAGCCTGGGTGACAGAGCAAGAACATTTCTCAAAAAAAAAAAAAAAAGGTATAAAATATAAAAACGTAGAGATAGAGAATTATAAAATGTCGTGTAGTCGTTACTCAGATTTACATAATTTATTCGTTGATATATTCTACAAATATTTTGAGCACTTATTAAGTACCACACATTCTTAGATATGGGTGATACAACAGTGACTAAGACAAATTTCCCAACTCTCATGGAATTTATATTCTAGTTGGAGAGAGAGGTAGTAAACAAACATGTTAACAAATAAGTATATAATGTGAAGTAGTGAAGTATATGAAATGAACAGCAAAGAATCCACACATGTATGGGATTACGGTGGGAGAGAACAACAGGAGACAAGCCAATAATACAATCTAGTGTCAGATCATAATGAGAACTATTAGGAGCAATAAAATAGGATAAGGAGATTGAAGGAGGTTGGTGTTGAGGGAGAAGATTGAATTATTTTTAATATGGTGGCCATGAAAGGCCTTTCTAAAGAGGCTGCATTTTAGGTCAGAGACATGAATAAAGTGAGGAAGCAAACTGTTCACTCCTCTGTTGATGATAATTTAGCTTAATTTTAATTTTTTGCTACTATAAAATGATAAAGTAATTTTTGTCTCTGGTATACACATTGAAGTGTTTCTTTAGGGTGTATGATGAGGAACAGGATTACAGGGCTGCCCATCTTCAAGTATGTTAGATATTGTGTTGCATATTGACCTCCAAAATGATTGTACATCCATCCAGGAGCATATAAACTTTGAGGGAGGAAAATCTTCCACTCTAACCAGAGGATCTGTTGTCCCAAGAGAGTGGAGAAAACTCCAATTATATATTTTTTCCTCTTTGTCTTCCCACAGGCCAGAAACCTGAAGCTTCAATTACTATGATCTTCGCTACCCCTAATGTTGACACGGTCATGGGTAGTATATGGCAGCATAGAGTAACCAATGCTCCAGCTTTCTGGCCAGAGGACAGAAAAAGAAAGCACTAGGGAACTGGAAAATACCTGGGAGATTTTAGGGAGAGCTCAGGAATACAAACCCATAAATTTGTTTGTAAACCAACGGGCTCTAAATGATCTAAATATACTAACTAAAAAAGTGAGATGGACAACAAAGATTTTTAAAAATGGATTCAGCCAAGTGCTATCTATGATATACTCATGCCAAATGCAATGATAGAGTTAGATTAAAGTTAAAGGGTTGGAAAAACATTTCCCATACAAATGCTAATCAAAAGAAAGCTAGAATAGCTATATTAGTATCAGACAAAGTAGATTTCAGAGCAAAGAAAATTACCAGAATAGAGACATTACATAACAATAAAAGGGTAAATCCACCAAGAAGCCATAACAACCCTACATGTACATGAATATAACAAAAGAGCTTCAGAACATGAAGGAAAAACTGAAAAAACTGAATGGAGAAGTAGAAAAATCCACAATTATATCAGTGGATTTATTTATCAGTCATAGATAAACTAGCGGACAGAATATTGGAAAAGATACAAAGGGACTGAATACCACCAATAATCAATGGCTTCTAATTGATATTTACATAATTATCCACCCCAAGCAGGAAAATATTCATTATTTTCAAGTGTATATCCAACACTCACCAAATAAGGATATCCTGATTCATAAAACAAATCTTAACCACATAAAAGAATTGATATCATACAAAATGTGTTCCCTGAATGCTGTGGTTTTCCCACCCAAACTCATGCTGAAACTTGATTCTCAGTGTGGTGTTGTTGGGAGTTGGGGCCTAGTGGGAGGTGTTTGAGTCTCAGAGGTGATCCTTCATGAGTAGATTTATACCCTCCTATGGGAGTGAAATTTTGCTCTCCCAGGACTGGACTAGTTCCTAGAGAGTGAACTGTTATAAAAGCAAGATGGACTTCCTACACTGTCTCTTCCTCCCTTGCCATGTGATCTCTTTTCCCATGCCAGTTTTTGACCCAACATGTGGCCCTAGGCTCTTCAGCTTCCCAGCCTGTAGAATCCTGTGCTAAATAAATGCATATAGAAAATAAACTACACAGTCTCAGGTATTCTGTTATAGACACACTAAACAGACTAACACACTGACCATAACTGAATTAAACTATACATAAATAATAGAAAGATAGGTAAATTTCCAAACTCTTGAAAATTAAACAATACATTTTCAAATAGTCCATGGGTCAAAGAGAAGATCCTAAGAGAAATTGGAAAATATTTTCAAGAGAAATAAAATGAAAACACAACGTATCAAAATTTGTGAGATGCTGCAGGAGCAGTGTTTAGTGGAAAATGTATAGGATTAAATGTTTATTTTAGAAAGAATAAAAATAATACAGTCATTTTGAAAGAGAGTTTGTCAATTTCTTGTCAAGTTAAACAGACACTCTATTGCCCAGAAATTCCACCCCACCCAAAAGAAACAAAACATGTGCATACAAAGACTGAATGCAAATGTATATAGCAGCTGCATTAATAATAGTCAAACCTGGAAACATTTATATGGTTCATTCAACAACATAAATAAAACAATATAAGCATTCAACTGGTGAATGTACAATCTAATTATGCTATATCCACACAATTAACTAGTACTCAGCAACAAAGGCAGTGAACTATTAATATTTGAAACAATGTGGGTGAATCTCAAAAGCATTATGCTAAATGAAAGAAGCCAGATACAAAAATGAGATCATACATATCCTTGTCTACTTCCTAAAATCAAAGGACACTATTCAATACTTATTTAACCATGAAGAATTATGCTATCTGATGCCTTTGTGTTGAAACTCTTCACCAGACTGAGAAGGTTTTCTTCTGCTTCAAGTATGTTGAGAGTATTTATTATATGTGTTTAATTATATTAAATTTTCTTTTTTCCATTGAGAAAATCATTATTACTAATAGATTTTAAATATTAAATTATCTTACCTGGGATGAACCCCACTTGGTTATATTATATCCCCAAATCCAAATCCCTTGGCTATCTCCAAGTCAAAATCTCTTTAATATTCCTCATTACAGTAATGCAGTGTTTCCAAAATTCATTGCTTTTAACAGAACATTTAATTTTTCTGTTAAGACATTTTTCAGACTTTGTGTTCCACAGAACAACTATTTATAAATCACTGACATAAATAAGTTAATTAAAACCTGAAGTATATATCTAGCAATCATTAATTTCTTTCATCTTTACCCATGTATTCACCAATGACTTCTAACATTTTGAAATGAAAGACACAAGAATTGCAGTTACTCTTATGCTTACAAATGATCACTTTAAAGCACAATTTCAAAGAAGAGGCTACATATTCAAGTGGGAACAACTTGTGAATAAATCTTAAGATATTATTTGCCACATATTGATATAATAGTTGTAGAAAATGTTTTACTCTGTGGATGGTAGACTCACTCACTGGAAAGCTCTTGTAACTATATATTGATTCCTTAATGCAGTCATTTCCTTGAAATATATTCACTTGTCTTGATCTTGCTCTTTACAGTAATAATTTAATCACAGTTTTTCCCTGGTTAACCACTTAGCCGTCCTTTAAAATTTCAAGAAGTTCTGGTTATCACCTGAAATTAAATAAGGTAACCATTGACCTTCGAAGTTATATAAAAAACTTTTTTAAATTGGAGATTTTTTTCTCTGTAGTCAGAGTTACTATTTTCCCAGGGATGCTAAGTAACATTAATCTATGAAGATAGGTGCATTTTCCCTGCACACCTTCTCACACACACACACACACACACACACACACACACACCAATAGATACTTGAATTAGATACTTTTATTTGGAGAGATGGGATTCTTGAACACCTTGGCTCAAGAAATCCATTTGCCTCAACCTCCCAAAGTGCTCAGATTATAGGAGTGAACCACTGTGCCTGGCCAAAAAATATTTTTTAAGCAGTGACTTAGGTATCAAATATAAAATGAAAAGTATTTTATAAACTGGACTAGAACATTTAGTAAACTTCCTTGTTTTTATTTTTTTATTTTTTTTGAGACGGTCTCGTTCTATTACATGGGCTGGAATACAGTGGGAAGATCACAGCTCAGTGCAGCCTTGAACTCCTGGGCTCAAGCAATGTTCTCTCCTCAGCTCCCAAGTAGCTGGGCTTGTAGGCATGTGTCAGCATGCCTGGCTAATTTTCTTTTTTTCTTTTTTCTTTTTTTTTTTTTTTTTTTTTTTTTTAAGAGACGGAGTCTCATTTGTTGCCTAGGCTGATCTCAAACTCCTGGCTTCAAGTGATCTTCCCAGTGTACCCTCCCAAAATGCTGGGATTACAGGCATGTGGCACCATGCCCAACCTAGTAAACTTATTTTTAAGGTAGCTCAATTTAAATGTTGAATTGCGATAGACAGGAGAGACTAGACATTCTGCATTTGTCTGGGACGATTCAAACCTAAAACTTGGACCTTATCTTATGATGTGAAGGAAGGACTAGAACAAAGGTAATAATCACAGAGAGACCCAAACCAAGAAAGAATCTTTGCTTATGATAATGTTAAGGGAGATCACCTAGACAGCTTCTCCAGCCTAGCTGCTGGGGTAGATTCTGGAGAGGAGAGAGGAGGAGAAAGATGCCTGGGTTTTATCTTTGGTGAGTGAAGAATATTGTACTTTACTTACCATACTCTTTTTCTAAAGGGAGAGAAGAAAGGTAAAATACGGTGGGCTTTCTCCAGTTCGAAAGCAAGAAAAAGAAGACCATGGAAGTGACGAATTTTCCCTTCTATTAGGAAGAAAGGGGAAGGCTTGGGAATAGGAGAGAGTAAGATACTAGAAATTCTTCCTCTGAAGCTCAGTACTATTTTAATACTCTCCACATCACCCCCACTTTTTTTTGACATGTAACTTATTTCAAACAAACAAAGTAAAGTAAGCACTGAACTGTAAATCTATGAATGTGGACCTCAGTTTTCTTCATATGTAAAGTGAGAAGTTTGGGCTAGTCTCTGAGGTGTCTTCTATCCTCGTGTACCTGAAATGACCCAAGCTGCAGACACTGTTCGACACACCTTGTCACTACTGGAGTGGATGGCCAGGTGAATATTCTGGCTTGCTCATCCTGCTTGCAACAGCTGGGGCTGAAACAGCTTGTGGCAAATCTCAGGCTACAGAAGGCCTGGTCAAGGACTTACTCGCTGAGCACTGCTTCCTCTCCCTCTTGCTCAGCTTGGTAACAGTATCAAGGGCATAGAAACTGCAAGCTCCCCCAGGATCAGCAAATGCATTTTGTTCTTTAGGCTTCTCCTCCTGGTACTCTGCTGCCCTTTCTTCTCAGAAGCCCTACTGGGGCATTTAGCAGCTCCTTTTAGTCACTTTTGTGTCCAAGGGCTGATGCCCATGCAGAGCCTGCTGGCTATTGACTGACTAAAGTTTGGTGGTGGCCACCTCATGCCTGCAAACCACCAGGTTTGAGTATCTTGGGAGAAAGCTCTGGGATAATACCCTCCTTGATGTCAGAGTGTATGGGGCCTTGTTGAAGAGTTGCCAGGCAGCCAAGAGAAAGTGTTCCACACATAGAACAGGGGGAGACTTGAATCCTAGAGAAAACAAAACAAAACCTAACAAAACAGAAATGAACCCTTGATGAACCTCTTGCTCTGGACTGGTGCCCTGAAAATGAATGAAATTGTTTTAAAGATTACCAAGAAGATATAAAATATCAAATGCGGCATTAATGTGTGAGTATTATATTTTATTTTATTTTTAATTGTGGCATAACACATGTAAAATTTATCATCTTAGCTCTGTTTAAGTGCACAGTTGAGTAGTGTTAAGTGTATTCACATTGTTGTACAATCAATCTCCAGAACTCTTTTCATCTTGAGAAACTGAAACTCTATGCCCATTAAACAACAATTCCTATTCTTCCCTTTCCTGGATTCCTGGCAACCACCCTACTACTTTTGTTTTTAATAAATGTGACTACTCTACGTATCTCATATAAATAAAACAACACAGTATTTGTGTTTTTGTGACAGGTTTATTTCACATAGATAATTTGCTCAAAATCCATCCAGGATGTAGCATATGTCACAATTTCCTTCCTTTATAAGATTAAGTAAAATTTCCTGGTATGTATACGCCACATTTTGTTTGTCCATTCACCTGCTTATAGACAGCTGAGGTGCTTTCACCTTTTTGCTATTGTGAATAATTATGTTATGATAAAGGGTATACAAATATCTCTTTAGGATCCTGCTTTCCATTTTGGGGGGTATACATGCAGGCATGGAATTGCTAGATCATACAGTAATTCTACTTTTAATTTTCTGAGGGATCACCAAAATATAAGTGCTATTGTCTGAATATGTGTGTCTCCACAAAATTCATATGTTGAAATCCTAACCCCGAAGATGATGGTATTAGGAGGTGGAGGCTTTGGGACGTGATTAGGTCACGTGGGTGTAGCCCTCACGAATGAGATTAGTCCCCTTATAATAAAGAACCCAAAGAATTCTCTTGATTTGGTGATTGACATCATTTCCTCCATGGAAGTGAATATAAAAAGAGACACTGTAGAGGACCCTGAGATAATATATGGCTAATGATGAGACCCTTGCAGGTGGTATAGAAGCCTCTGGTTTGCCAGGGCAGATTCATATCTAGGATCAAAAGGATAACCCTAGTTGCTTAACAGGGAATAGAGTTGCATGAGAATGCAACAGTTTATTATAATGTATAGTTATTATAATAATTACAGGAATAGTTTATTATAATTTATAATTATATTAATTTATAATTATAATTTATAACTTATAATTTAAAAATATCTTTAATTGTACACCAAAGTCATTCATATTATATACATAACATATATATAATACATATATATGAATATTTCTGCAAACAAACCTTTCAAATGTAAAACCAGGAAAGAAGCTGATATTCAAACTGTCAGTTCTACTTCCTTGTCCAGCAAAGATGATATCAAGCAGAGTATATTGGAAATAACCTCATAAAAACTCAGGCACTAGTATACCATATACCTAATCCTAATGTCAATAAATAAACCAGCTGCTTGATAGAAGCCCACCAAACAAGTTCCTACATAGCCGACTTTCATTTCCTTACCAGGATGATAAGGAGGAAAAGAGATATCATTAGCTCTAAGATGGATACTTTAGAAGGAACAGTTCTTTCAATGATTCTAGAAATCTTATCTGGCTTATGTATCTTCTGGCATTCACAGAGAACCTGTAACTATTTTGCATACATTTCTTCTGAACCTATGTCTTATTTCTGCCTGCCACACAAATCCAGAGTACCTATGATTTAGATTACTATATTATTTTCCCAGTTGCCGTAATATATTCAAACAGATCAAGAATGTGAGATGTGCTCTAACTAGACTCGGAATAAAATCCTTCTAGTTCTTTATTAATCCCATTGCCTTGAAAAGCAAACAAAACTCTGCCCTGAGGTATAATACAAACCACTTGCTTTGTTATTACTATGGCTATCCTATTTCTTCAGGAGTGCTGTTGTCAGAAATGATTCTTCTGATTTTGGTGGTTGTAGCCTATATCATCATTTAGAGTTCACAGATATGAGAAAGCAATTGAGATGACACTTGTTTTACTAAAGTCAATATTAGTTAACCTGTTGTTTACCTGTAGTTCAGCCCTACATTTATAGACATGGGAATTTCGATCCATGTCTAGCCTGTCTCTGAGCTCTGTAGGCAGAAGCAGAGATGATTTCTAGAAAAATAATCCAGATAATAAAGGATTTGCTTCAACCTTTGTAAAGTATTTTCTCAAGCCTAAATCCCATTAACAATTACATCTACAAATGGATACCACATTTGTTTCTAACCACAATTTCAATGACTTCTACATAATCTTAATGATAATAACATGGGATAGGATGTTTGTGGCTCCTGATGGAAATCATCACAGATTTTGATGATCCCATGCATATTGTTTTACAAGGGCCTGGAGAAAATATTAAGGCCATGAGAACAGCATCTATGAAATGAACGCAGTGGAGCTAGTGCCAAGGCTAGGGTCTAGGAAAAGTTGACTTACCCCAAATTTGCTGATTGTGCCATTCAGTTGACTCTGCCCTTGCTCTTGGCTTGCTCCTTGGTCATACGTTCCTGGACTGAAGGCTTCAACATGCCTTTAGGAAAGAACAGCCAACATTTCTAGTAGGATATCCAGTACTGGGATCCAAGGCAAAATGCAGGCCACTGAAGAAGCTCACAGCTTCTAGTAAAGCTCAATTATGTATTTGTTGATGAGAGAAAGCCTCAGGGTGAAAGAGAGAATGTTGACTTAATTTATTAAATGAGAAAACTAATGGAAATAGATTCAATCATATATATTTCTACTTACTGTAGAAAATATATGATGATAGGACTACAATTTTCAGATGAGATTGAGAAACCAGCTGCCTTCAGCATCTTCTGTGACTGATTTACTCTAAACTAGGAATGAGATCTGCAAACCAACAGGTTCTACTCAACCACGCTTTACTTCCTGCTTTCTTGTGGAACCATGCAAGCTTAGGGAGACCTGTTAGTCTTGGGCTTGTGAACTACAGTTCTCCAACAGCAAATGTGTCATGCATTCCCTGGGCAGAAGGGTCCATGATCACAGACTGTGGTATCAAACTGTCTCCAACAGCAACCAAAGAGTGTGTAGGATGTCTGAGAAGGACACTAAGCAAGCTAACAGCTGGACTGGGAGAAAAAAATAACTTTCCATGGCATGTTCAAAAATTATGTGGTACCCTCAGAACATGCAAATAAACAATTATATGTGGATATAAGATGGCTACAAACATCTACACACACTGAAAATAAAATCTGCATCCATAATCAACAGAACTCTAGACTGGGTTCATATTCTTAAACATAAAATGCAACTTTTGAAGAAATTCTTAAAGTTTTATTCCTCTCTCCCAAAGAAAATCTTCACAACACTGTAATCTCTTTGTAGATTTTGAAACACTTCTATGAACAAAAATTATAATTTGATTTTTAGTCAAAATATTGTCCTGGATAGGTACCATAGTCCTTTAAGATGTGTTATCAGTACAATTTCCCAAATGGCTAATTTCTAACAATAAAGTCCAATTTCCCCTCCACAGCTAAGTGTCATGTTTTCTCATCTACTAAAAGTCAAGTGGCTCCTCTGGCTTGCAGATTACAAGACAATGTTTCGATGAGGTGTCAGGCTGTACCTGCATATGCTTCCTCTAATGTAGTCTTATCATTATCAAAGTAGTGATTTTGAATTTTGAAATGTTGGCCTGTTTTTACACAACATAATTCACATAACTCCACATAGATATTGAGATTTATGTAGTAGGATGTATTTATCTTAGCCAAGCCCATGTAGGAATAGCATAGGAAACAATATGTCATACTTGCATGCCTGAGTTGCTGGTCCTAGGTTTGGTGAAGTTGTCACTGTGGGTTAAGAATTTTCAGAACATTTTCCAGGGAGTACAGCAAGTTTTGGCATTTGGGTTGATAAAATTTAAAAGATGCTTTCAAGGACTTCTGCATTGAGACAATACGATCAAAAGGCAAAAGTCTGTAGCTTCTAGCTTTCACCTGTTTCAACCCTGAACAATGTTTCAGCCTGGACTCTAGTAAGCATAACCATTTGAAATTTGGGAGTAGAGTGAAAAGGTCATACCTCAGGACCTAAAATGTCGGAAAAAAAATACATGAGTCATTTGCACACAACATTTGCTCGAATGTTGCACAGAGATTGATTATAGAATATTTGGAAACCATTCTATGAACATTTGTAGCCAATGGCTTTCGTTCAGATGAGTTCTAAATTTATTAAGAAACAGAGACTAGATTTTTTTGATATTATTGAAATATTCAGTAACCACTACTCTTTTGAATGTTAATAGCATTAAATTTGTATTTGTATTTTGCCAAGGCACTCTCCATTACCTTACCCATGTTGATATAACTTTGCTTCTCGTAATACATACAAATGACCCTTAAATCTGTAGTAACTATAGTCCAAGAATGTAAATAGCTGAATATATGTGAATGAACACATGAAAGGATGGACAGAAGGATGAATTAAAAATAAAAATAAATAAATGCAGAAACAAATGAATGAATAAAGCCAGCAGAAAGTGAGTATAGTTAGTACCTGGGGAGGTGGGTATTAAACTTATGATAGGAAAGTCAGAGAAAGGGTCTCTGACAAGACAACATGAGTAAAGTAAGATCTGAGCAAAGGAGCTGAGAATGTAAGCCTTGTGCATTCTTTGAAGAAGAATGTTTCAGATAGAGGAAAGAGAATAAAGATCTAGAGGCAGAAACACATCTGACATGATTGAAGAACAAAGAGGCCAGTGTGGTGAGAGCAGAATGAATGAAGGGGAGAGATGTAGGATATGGGTTATAATTCCAGGGGAGACAGATTGTATGGGCCTTTAGAGGCCCCTATAAATATCTTGGCATTTATACCCAATAAATACAAATGTTTACTTAAAAATTATAATGGGAAATGAAATTTAAGTTCAGCTTTTCTGCATCATTCATAATATGTGAGGTATTATTTTTCTAGCAGTGGATGAGTGTTGAACTATACTATTTCTCATCCTTTTTGTTATCAATAGTCTTACTTATTGAGATGTGAGGCTTGTAGCTGTGGAATAAAAGAAAATTAACTGTAATTGTTACTGATTTAGTACCAAACACTAATATCCTTCATTAATGTATTTCTTCAATGAGGAACTCTAAGCAATTTCTATATGCTCAGTACTGTGCTAGGAAATAATTGCAAACTCCAGGAGGACTGGGACATGATTGCTTCAAACTGCTCCTTTTCAGGATTAGCATAGCTCAATAGCACATGCTCAATAATGTGTCCAGAATAAAGAAGTTACTAATAAATGAGGAAATGAGGATACAACAGTGAAGAGTATATAGTTGGTGTCTGATTTCACAGAACATACAGTCGAATGAAAGAGTGATTTTAAAATAAGCAACTATAGTACAGTTATGCACCAAACAATGTTTTGGTGAAGAACAGATCACATATATGATGGTGGTTCCATAAGATTTATTATGGAGCTGAAAACTTTTTATCACCTGATGATATCTTAATCATCTTGATCCTTTGTAGGTCTAGGCTAATACGTGTGTTTGTGTCTTAATTTTTAACAAAAAGTTTTAAAGTAAAATAAATAAATTTGCAATGGAAAAAAGCTTATAGAATAATGATATAATGAAAGAAAATATTTTTGTACAGCTATACAGTGTGTTTGTGTTTTGAACTGAAAGTTATTACAAGAATCAAAAAGTTAAAAAATTAAAAGCTTATAAAGTAAAAAATTACAGGTAAGGTTAATTTATTATTAAAAAATATTTGTTTATAAATGTACTGTAGCCTGATTATACAGTGTTTACAAAGTCTCCAGTAGTGTTCAGCAATGTCCTAGGCCTTCACATTCACTCACTACTCACTCACCCACTCACTCACCCAGAGCAACATTTAGTCCTGAACGCTTCAGTCACAGTAAGTACCTTACATAGGCGTACCTTTGTGTTTTTTAAATCTTTTACATTCTATAATGTTTGCACAATGACAAAATCACCTAAAGAATACGTTTTCAAACATATTCCCACTGTTAAGCGACTCAAGACTATGATGAAGGAAGGATAGTTTCAGAGTGATGGTGATTAGTCATTGCAGAATTCAGTAACAAAGTAACTACTGCCTAAAATATCAACACTAAGAAAAGTCATTGAAATACTGACCAGTGTTGTTGGAGAAAATTGGAAGAAAAAGACTAAGCATACAAATTGCAGATATTTATTTCTTGTTTAGAATATGATTAGGCTGAATGGTGAAATGCACCTAACAAAATTAAGTCAGCTTTATAAATGGTGCCGGGTTGTTTATTAGATTTGCTTGAAAATTTCTCAAAAAATTATCCAAGACTTTGGCAATTTACTACAAAGCCAATTCTATGAATATAATCACTAAAAAAAAAATCTATTGCCTCAGCATCTTCACTAAGAACAAGAGTAGGCACAAAACTCAAGAGTAATTTCAAAGCATGTTGATTTCTCCCATATTCTTCTTATGGATAATTCATTAAGGCCTTGCAAATGTCAATTCACAAATCAAAGACACATTTGTATCTTCAGGTTCTTACATGTAAAAAGAGAAACCATCCATGTTTATGTAAGAGATGTCATTTCAATTTATAATTACCTGTCAGCTTTCAGGAAAAATGAATATTCAAGAACACAGGAAGAATGACCATACAACAAAAAGGAAAACATCATGGATTGTTCTGGAAGTCATTAACTAAATTGTCTATTTACAAACCTTAGCATGACTCTAAAATTACCTAATGCTTTTCTTGTAGAAAATAAAAAAGAAATAGTATCTGACAAACAGAATCTTGATTATTAGAAGGGATTTTTATAGTTTCCAAAGCAGCAGTTGGCAAACCTTTTCTATAAAGGGTCAGACTAAATATTTCAAGCTGTGCAGGCTAAACATTCTCTGTCACTGCTACTCAACTCTGCCGGTGTAGTTGAAAGCAGGCTTTGTGAACAAATGAGCATGGCTGATAAAACTATTTACAAAAGCAGGCAGCATACCAGATGTGGCTCACGGGTTACAGTTTGCAGACCCCCATTCTAGAAGATTTTCAGATTAAAGAAGCTCTGGGGGTGCTTAGTATTTATCTGACCACAACCAGATACATTCCAAAGTCATGAGAGCTATAATATCTCAGGTGATATCAAGCCTGGAGAATAAATCCTATTTATGTAAGTCAACTGAAAAAGCAAATGGAGAACTTTACCTGAACTTGCCTGCAGTTGATACATTCTGGGAGACATGAAAAATACATTTTTTAATGACAGAAATTAACCCATAAAAAGATGTTTGAGGAAGAGGGATGTGTGAACCAAGTGTGTTCAATCTTTTTCAGCAGAACTGCCTGAAATTTACAAAAGCAGAAAATAGATTAAGCTAGATGTCAAGATGTCTGGATTCTATTACGGGCTTTGCTACTAAGAGCTCATATGACCTCTACACTTCAATTTCCCTAACTCTAAAAAAAAAGTATGTGAACTTGATGAACTTTGAAATTATTTCAGACTAGAAAAGTTGATGGTATTATGAATGAAATGAACGTTTTGATAATATTGCCAATTAAAAGAAACCATGACTGAGAGGGCCAATGGTGACTAAGAGGACAGGTGCCCCACCAGGCAGACCTGCTATGAGCATTCAACATCTGAGTTGCCAGGGACTTTTTAATGACAATGAAATCAAGATGATGGAATGCCTCATAGAGTACATGCCATAAGTTCCAGGCAGAGTCTGTTCAGCACCCAGATAATCGGTAGACAAATGTACAGTGTGGAAAAGGTAGAGAGAGACTAGCTGCCAATAAGCCAAAGCATTCATTGCTTGCAAAGTAGAAGCAAATGTTGCTCACATCAGAGCATATGAAGCAAGGCCTCCTATTTCAGTGTGTGTTGGTATCCATACATTTCTTTAAAGAAAAGGTCAATTTATACTCGGTTATATTTGATTATTAAAGGCTAAGATGCTGCATTTGACTGTGAATCTGGAAAACCCTCAATCCAAGAAATTCTCAAGAAAGGTAATCTCAGATTCCCAGGAGCTCAGGTTTCAAAATTCATCAGAAAGAAAGTACTAGTGGAGGACTGCTTGGAGAATATGCTACCTCTTGATGACACTGGGTTCTCTAAAATCTATCCTTCCATTGAGTCAGACCATCTGAGAAACAAACTTGTCCAATCTATCCCTCCTACCTGCTCACCATAGAATTGCTTTTACGGAATCAGAGTTTGCTGCAATGCTATAAATATACACTGATGATACTTACATACAGCATAGCCACATGTTCTGGGGTGCCTGGGAAAATCCTAGTTTATGCCTATTGTCCCAACATAATGACTGATGATAAATGCTTTTCCAAGAACCATTTTTCTCTTAATGAAGGCAACTTAAACAATTCAACCATTTTTTAAAAAAAATCATAGGGAAAAGGAAACAAACAAACAAACACGATTTAGTGGACCCTCTTATTTTTCCTAAATCAAGTGGGAAGAAAGAGAAGCATTCTCAACCAATGGATTTTCACCATTCTAGAGCAGGTATGGCAAATACTGACACTGAAAAAGGAAAATTAGTTAACGTCTTTCTGCTTCTTGGTCACCAAGGAAAGTGGATCTTGACTTGAATCACAAGTGGCACAGTGTTTCTGTGATCAGGGTTCAGCAAATAGATGGCAGTTGTATGACCTGATACATGCTTGCTCTCTTGCCTCAGGTTGCCCTGGAGAAATGACCAAAAGGCCATAGGTCCCTCACTTTTTGAGGACCACGTTTCACTGCAAGCAGCCAAGCATCTAGCACCCAGAAAGATTAGATAAAAACAACTCACCAATCCTTTTCAAATATATCACTTCCCTTTAAAGTACAGCTATTTGTTCCAGGATTCAACTAGCGACACAATATTCTAGTTATAGCATTTCACTATATTTTTAATATACCCAAATTTTAACTAATTTATGGGACACCAAAATGATCAAGTGGAGAGTACAACATTTGTTTTGGAGGAACCAGACTCTAAAATATTATCATCTACATCCTTTTATTTTCTTTAGTTTACATTTATTATAGCTTGTTATTTTAAATCATTGTTGGAACAAGGCAGTTTATAAATAAAGAATAGAAAAGTACGAATGAAATAGTGAGATGGCATGATATTTCCCAGGGTTCCTCAAACCATACTGAGACCTTCCAAGGGAAGAATGATCCTTGTTTATTTAACAATCAACAAATAGCAATGTGCACTACGTTAGGAAAGATAACACTATATCACCCCCTGAATATTCTGTGTAGCTTTAGGTGGTCTTACTTATTTCCTTTCCTTCTCTAGTAGTAGAGTGCAGTTGCACACAATGAGCATCTCTCCGATATGCAGCTCTTTTAATGAACAGCTCATATATTTGCTCAAAAGATAGGCCTGGGGAAATATAAGGCAATGGAAGATTTTGTTCTGCCCACTAATTTATTTAAAAATCCTTTGGATTGAGTGGAAAGACAGTTTTAATGGTCTTTTTACATCCTACAAGAAATATAATAATCACCAGCTAACCCAAACATAACTTTTGAAGGAATCATAGCTAAAGAAGAAAATGGGAAGGTAGTGCTGTGGGTTAACTTGTGTCCTCCGTAAAGATAAACTGAAGTCCTAAACCCCAGTACCGATAAATGTGACCGTATTTAGAAATAGGGCCTTTACAGACATAAGTAGTTAAGATAGTATCATACTAGGTACAGTGAGCCCTATATCCAATGACTGACACCTTTATGGAAGGCCATGTGAAGACACAGAGACACAAAGACTCAGAGGAAAGAAGGCCACATAACAACTGAATTAGATATTAGGATGATAAAGCTACAGTTCAAAGAACAGCAAGAACTGCCAGTAATCGCCAGAAGCTGGAAAAGACACAAAAACATTCTTAAATAGAGTCCTTAGAGGGAGCAGGAGCCTGCTGACACCTTTGTTTCAGGTTTCTAGCCTCCAGAACTGTGAGAGAATACATTTCTGTCCTTTTAAACCATATATTTAGCAGTACTTGGTTACAGCAGCCCTAGGAGATTACAGTAAGGGAAAAACTCCCTTTGTTAGGATCCCCTTATCACTTCCTTTCCAACTTCTTAATCTCCAGGGTAATATGCATTTTAATGAGATTCTATATTTTAAGTTAAAAGATGACAGTATAGTTTGCTAGTGAACAGCGTGAGCTTTGGAGAAAGAAAGATCTGAATTTAAATCTGGCTTTACCATTTAATTAATGAAGCATCTGGGCCAAGTCACTTGATCGCTCTAATATTCAGTTTCATTATAATTAAAGTGGGAATAATTACAATGTCTACTTAGAAATGTGATCATATAAGTAAATAATGAGCATTGACCTTACACGGGATAAAAGGCACAGAAATCAAAGACATTAAAGTCATAAAAAAGAAGTTAAATTGTTTGCAGATGCCATGATATTACATATAGAAAACCCTAAAGATCACCAAAAAACTGTTGGAACTAAGAAAGGAATTCAATAACATTTCAGGATACAAAATCAACATATAAAAATCAGTTGTTTTCTATACACTAACAACAAACTATCTGAAATCTGTAAGATATTGAATAAAGAAATTGAAGACATAAATAAATGAAAAACTATTCTGTGGATTGGACTGGAAGAATTAATATTGTTACAATGTTCATACTACCCAAAGAGGTCTATATGCTTAATGCAATCCTTATCAAAATTCCAGTGACATTTTTCACAGAAATAGAAAAAACAATCTAAATTTGGATGGAACCATTACATAGCCCAAATAACCAAAGCAATTCTTAAGAAAGAACAAAAAAGCTGGAGGCATCACAGTCCCCGATTTTAAAATATATTACAAAGCTATTGTAATCAAAACATCACGGTACTGGCACAAACAGACACATATATTCATGGACAGGAATAGAGAGCCCAGAAATGAACCCATTCATATATGATTAATTACACTTTGACAAGACTGCCAAGAATACACAATGGGGAAAAGATAGTCTCTTCAATAAAGGGCGATGGGAAAACTGGATATCCATGTGTAAAAGAATGAAATTGCACACTTCTTATATACCATATTAAAAAACTAACTCGACATAGATTAAAGATTTAAATGTAAGACCAGAAGCCATAAAATTCCTAGAAGAAAATAGGGGAAAACTCCATGATATTGGTCTTGGCAATCACTTTTTGGATATGACACCAAAAGCATAGACAATAAAAGCAAAAATAAACAAGTGGGACTACATCAAATTAAAAAAAAAAAAATCTTCTGCATAGAAAAGAAAACAATCATCTGGACATGATGTCAAATGCCTGTAATTCCAGCACTTTGGGAGGCTGAGGCAGGAAGATGCCTTGAGCCCAGTAGTTTGAGACCAGCCTCACCAACATAGTGAGACCCCATCTCTGCATTTTTTTTAATTAGCTGGGCATGGTGATGCATGCCTGTAGTCACAGTTACTTGTGAGGCTGAGGTGGGAGGATTGCTTGAGCCTGGGAGGTTCAGGCTGCAGTGAGCTGTATTCATGCCAGTGCACTGCAGCCTGGGTGACAGAGCAAGGCCCTATCTCAACAAAAAAGAAAAAGAAATCAACAAAATGAAAAGGCAACCTACAGAGTGGGAAAAATATTTGCAAACCATGTATCTGACAAGGTATATGGAAATATATAAGGAATCCAAATAACTCAATATATATGACAATATAAAAATACAAATAAACCCGATTTAAAAATGAACAAAAAACCTTAATAGACATTTTTCTAAAGAAAACATACAAATGACCAACAGGTATATGAAAAAGGTGTTCAACATCGCAAATCATCAAGGAAATTCAAATCAAAACCATAGTGAGATATTGCCTCACTCTTGTTAGGATGGCTATTATCAAAAAGACAAGAGATAACAAGTGTTGGCCAGGGTATGGAGAAAGGAAACCCTTGTACACCATTAGTGGGAATGTAAGTTGGCACAGCCATTATGGAAAATAGTATAGAGGTTCCTCAAAAAATTAAAAATAGAATGATTATATTTTCCAGCAATATATACTTCTGGGGCTATATCTTGATAACTTGAAATCAGTATATAGAAGAGATATCTGCACCACATGTTGATTGCATCATTATTCAGAATAGTCAACGGCTACACATAATCGAAGTGTCCATTAATGGATGCCACATGTATCATGGAATATTTATCAGCCATAAAAATAAGGACATTCTGCCATTTGTTACATCATGGATAAACCTGGAGGATATTATGCTAAGCGAAATAAACCAGACAGAGAAAGAAAAATACTATATAATCTCGCTTATGTATGGAATCTAAAAAAGTAAAACTCATAGAAGCAGAGAGTAGAACAGTGGTTGTCAGGGGCTGAAGGGTGGAGGAAGTGGAGAGATATTGTTCATAGGGTACGAAATTTTTAAAATTATTGTTCAGTTTTGTTAAGGTATAATTGACAAATATAAATCATATATATGTATGAACAATGTAATTTTTTGATATATGTGTTGTGAAGTGTTTAAATCAACCTAATTAGCATATGCATCACTTCACGTACTTAATTGTTTGTGTGGAGAACATTTAAGATCTACTTGCTCAGCATGTTTCAGGTATATGATACATTACTATTAACTGTAGTCACCATCCGATCAGACTAAAACTTTGTAAAAAGGGTAATAACTTTTTGTTGTAAGACGAATTGTTGTGAGTACTAATGGATAGCATGGTGACTATAGTTAATAACACTGTATGGTAACAGTGGATTTTAAATGTCTTCAGCCCTCTACACACACAAATGATAACTATGGCTACTGATGGATGTGTTAATTTGATTGTGGTAAGATTACACAGTCTACACATGTATCAAACCATTGCATTATCCATCTTAAATATATGCAATGTTGTCAATTAAATATTTAAAATAAGAAAAATAAAAACCAGTTTAGGATTTAGGTTCATGCCAGCCAGGAGTATGATTGCAACAGATATGGGGTAGAACTGAAATGGACAGCATATGGAAGTCTTTTCTAGCTATGGGGTCTCACGACCCACTTAATAGGGCAGTGGTGGCTATATGGATTCCTGCAGATTTGGCAGGAAACTCAGCAGGACATTGAGACTCTGCTAGAAGCAAGAAGCCCTGTTTTTCTTTCCACCCCCACCAATCTGTCAAGATTTAAGGTTTGGATTAGAAATTAAAACAAAGATGGTAGCAAAAGAAGCACAATGTAATTTTTCATCAAAGGGCCTCAGCTAAACTGCTCTTAAAGATTCAAGCTGGAATATGTCACCCAAACTCTCATTCTGTTCTATTTTTAATTTCTCAGCCATCACAGATGTTGGGGTGTGAGTGTGTTTGTGTGTGTGTGTGTGTGTGTGAACTAATTAACTTTATTTTGCATTATGACACTGCAGCTCTTGTTTTGGCTATATTTCTCCTATAAGTCAAGAAAGAGTAAGTAGAAAACAAAACTGCAAAATCACACGTATAGCTACCACTCCTCTAATATTTATCTAAATCAATATTTACATAAAGGTGTAAAAAGCAAAGAATAAACCAGAAGTTGTGGTGTTCCTGAACCTTTCATGTTGCATAATACTCTATTACTACTTCTTACGTCCTCTGGTACCTGCTAGAGTTTAGAGTTGTGGTCATGGATTTGAGAAAGCAAGGGACATATCTACACATGCAAAAATGACAATGAAGTTCACATCCATGAGTTATTATCTTCCACAGTTATTTAGCTGACCATGGAGAAAAAAAAGAAGTCTTACTAGATGAATAGGGGCAATGAGGAAGTGGAAAATAATTTTGCATTAAGGCTCTACAGTGTATGCTCCCCACATTATTTCTCTTTTAAACATGAAATTCAAAGCACATAAATCATTAAGATATAGCAAAATCCCATGCTTTACTGGAATTTAGGGAATATAAATGTTTAAATACCAAGCATTAGCATTCTTCTTTCAGATGATTTATATTTTGAAGTAATCAAAGTAGTAAACTTGCATTCCTCCTCTCTTAGAAATAATTTTCCAAATAACCCTGTTATATTGATTTCTACCGTCTCACACAAATACACATACACACACACACACACACACAAAACACAATCACAGAAGTTGATGTCACACAAATGTGTTATATATTTTGTTCTTTACTTAATGACCATCTGCCATAACTTATTAAAAATTGTATATATTCAAGGTGTACAACATGATTTGATATATGTATGCAGATAGTTCCCAACTTATGCTGGTTCAATTTACATTTTTTCAACTTTAGAATGGTGCAAAAGTGATATGCATTTATACAGTACTCATAAAACTATTATGTTTTTCACTTTCAGTAAACCACATGAGATATTCAACACTTTATTATGAAATAGGCTTTGTGTTAGATGATTTTCAGACGATGTTATTTTCAAATTGCAATGGATTTATTAGGATGTAGCCCCACCACAAGCCAAAGAACATCTGTGCATTGTGTAATGACTGTCAAAATCAAATTAACACTTCAAATACCACCCATGCTGTACATTAGATTGCCAGAATTTGTCATTTTATAACTAAAAGTTTGTACCATTTGATCAGCATGTCCCCATTTTCCCCAATCCCCAGTTCCTGGGTGACCACAGTTCTACTCTCCATTCCTATGAGTTAGACTTTTTAGATTTCACATATAAGAGAGACCATACAATATTTTTCTTTCATTTCACTTAGCATAATGTCCTCCAGGTACCATGACTCCTCAAGTAAACTGTGTGTTTCTTGGCGGCAGATGCTCTTTCCTTCTTTTATGTCCCCAATAGTTTCTAAACCAAGACTGCACAGAAGTGCTGCAGGAGTGCTACAGGGGATAGAGGCCATAGTTCCAGCTTCTGGTATTTATTTATTGTGTGTACCACAAAATGTAGATCAAGGATTTGTAAAAGAAAATATTAATACTTGACTTTTAGTGGGTAGTTGTCATCTGACCCCATATATTGAAGGAAACCGTAAATCTAGGATGGAGTAGTCTTACAGCATGATAGAATCTCAGCAAGGCTATGGGCTCTTCTGAAACTAAACATACAGGCAGCAGTCAAACATTTACAGTGATGATTTGGGGATGTTAGGATTCAGGACATTTTATATTCTGATTCTGTAATCTAGGCAAAATGCTAAAAATACATTTTGATTGTTTGGAGAAACAATGAATAGAAAGGGCAAGCATCATGAAAACTGAAAGTTTCTAAAAGCTTTCTTCAAATGCAGGAAGGACTCTCACATGGAAGTGGACATGCTATTTCACGTGGAGCCAGAAAATACAAAACAGCAATAGAAGTAAACATGAAATGTATTATAATAACTAAATAACTTTCTTATTAAAAATATGCTCAAAAAGAAAAGGTGGCCTTCAGATACAGGTTACATTTACTAGAATCAGTGAAATAAAATATTGATTGAGCACTGGCCAAGGACACACGGGGATTTCAAGTGTGTGTGTGTGTGTGTGTGTGTGTGTGTGTCACCTAAGTTACCTTCCAATTCTATGATTTTATGAAATGTAGCCACCCATTGCAATTAAAGGAAAATTTTAAGTGACTTAACAAAGATTAGGCACAGGCTCATGGACCATTAAGATATCATCATAAATCTCCAAAGAAAGGAGATAAGTTAGCATCAAAAAGATGCTTTGATTTTTGACCCTATGTCACTTTAAAATTGCAGAGATCCTAAAAGAAACCAAGGAAGATCAAAATTCAAGCTATACACTCTTTCCTGGTGACTACTTACATCTAGACAGTGAAATGTTTCCTGATAAAACACAGTGATTTATGTTTGTGTTTTAATTTTGAAAAATGAAGACAACCGTGGATTTAATTCTGGAAAATCAGTATACACTTGGTCATGCCCCGATACCCACATCTGTATACTATTCATGCTCTGCCATGTTTTACAGTGCTCAAGCCCAACAGATTTATGGTAACTGGGCCTAGCAATTCATGGTACCCTGGAAAAAAATGAAGTGAGACCATTAAACATGGAGAAGAACACTTACTAAGAAATCAAAAATTTATTATAATACAAGTGTATTAAAGGCTATCCCCCTCATTGTGGCCCAACATGACTGTCTTGTTTCATCTGATACTATACATACTTTTGTCTAAGAAACTTATGCTGGCCATAATGACATTGAAGGAAAGAAAAACAGAAAAGTAAGCTTTTCTCATCAAGTCTTCTTTCAGAGCCAGAGATTCTAGACTCTGCGGATTAAGTTGCTCTATATTTTTTCTCTGTTCTAGATTATTGGCCTAAGAAACTTCTAAAGAAGAGTGGGGAATAGGGAAGCTTCTTTAAGATTCTAGGCAAAAATTTTCCTCATGTAGCTCCCAGATCCTAAGAACCAAGGTCATAACATTCTACTCTCCACCAATACTCAGATGATAGATAAAACCAGAATGATAAAACTTCAGAGCCTTTAATATTACCATGACATAAACTCTATGAGGCCAGCGATTGTTGTCTAATTTTTCTGTAACTCTTTTTTAGGGTGTGGGACAGTGCCCATCATGCAGAAAGCATTCAATAAATGTTTGTTGAATAAATGAATGAATAACAAATCAGTGTGTCATTGAATTAAGTTTGATAATGGCATCAAATTATAGAGAAAGTATTTGCAAATCCTGCACTCAAGAAAAGAAAACATTTTATGCATTAACATGATCATTGAGAAATTGATGTTTTAAAATTAGGCTCCTGCAGAGTTCCATTTTACTTCAATTTTATATATATATATCTCTCCAGAAAATCAAACATTATCATTGTTTATATGTTATTGATTTAGCTCTCTGGACTACATTTCAGAGTTGATCCTGCACCATCTCACATTCAGGGCTCTTTGCAGGTGCAGGTGCAGGTGCAGGAACTGCTCCAAGAACTCGAGACAAAGGTTCTTTGGAGCAGGTTTTGATGCTCACATTGAGAATGTGGGAACTTGTCAGATCGTTCCTTCCCACTGTGTTTCATTTGTTTATTTGTCTTTAACTAGCAAAAGTGAGAAACTCTTTATAGGTCAATGGTTATGAGGTTGGCCCCTGGAGTCAGACTGCCTGGGTTTACCATTCACACCACTTAAAATCTGTGTTATTTCTGAGGCTTAATTTCTCCATCTGTATAATGGACTCAAAGCAGTACCTAATTCACAGATTTATTTTGAGGATTGAGTTTGGAGGTGGAAGTTCACAGCACAGTGCCTGGTATACAGTAAGTGTTTAATGATTGATAGATTAATAGGTAGTAAGCATGGTAATAACTGTATCCCACCCTTCCTTTTCATGTTCCCTGCTATGTACCATTCTTCTACCCCTACCCTGCCGCCTTACAGAAGAATCCCCTGAAAACATGCTGGTATTTGAAAATCCTGCATTCCCAGGAAGGGTGTGCACATGGAGGATCCTGACGGTACCTGACTGTGTGCAGATGCAGCAGCCCAAACTCTGACTCTGACCCTACTTCTGTATCTTAAGCCCGGTAGATCCCTTGCAACTATATGATTCCTCTGTCATCAGTTGGTGATAATGGTGCCAGAGAGGGCAGAATTGTTTCAGAATTCAGAGAGAGGATGGCATGTTAAAACTGGAAGAAATATTCTAGATCAAGACCCTTATTCAGTAGATGAGGACAACGAAAGTAGAGAAACAGTGTGCCCGACCCAGGTCTGGCTTACTGAAATTCCTGGTTGATGTCTCTGTGCCCCCTATTCCTGCCCACCTCTCCCACTTCCCGAGAATGTTTAGTCATGACAACCAAAAGAGATTCGTTAATCAGGGGACCCACTTTGGTGAAAGGAGATGATTCTGTATCATTAACTGATTAAATAAAACAAATTCCAATACAACATTTACTTTTCTGTCTGCCACCCCTTGGAGGAAAATTTCAAGAAGAAACAAAACTAACTAGCAAACTACATGTTAAGCATTCCAATATTCTGTTTTTAACAAAATATTTTAGCATTTTAAGAAAAAGAATATGAGGACTTTAACAAAGAAAAACTGGACCCCCATTGTATTTTAATTTTAACTTTTGATGAGCCACATTGTTCTAGCTATATTAATTTGAATCCATCTGGCTTACACAGAGAGACATTTCAAATGCTTTCCATAATAGCGGGAAGGAATGATCTCATGAGGAAAGGATTTTTTCATGCTGCTGGATTCTTGGAGGCTTTTGCTGAGAATCATCATGTAGGGTGAGGTGGAGCATCATGCATTTATTTAACAAATATGTATTGAGTAGGTGACGTGCCAGGTACCGTGTCAGCTACTAGGTTTATGAAAATGAGATTCGGACCTTATTCTCAAGGAGCATAGTATCTAGTAGGAAATACTAGTATGTTAATTAATTACTAATAAAAGTCACAGTAAATGTAATACTAGTGTATATTCAGTGTGCTCTGTTAGTCTTAGAAGTGGCCCCTAGATCATGCTGGGACTAAAATAAAAGATCTCTGAGGTGCTGACTCCTGATGGACAAACTGGGAAAGAAAAACTCTTCGAATTAAAGAATAACAGGAGGCTAAAAGCTTTGATTTTAACTTAGCAGATAACTGGCAAAATCTAATCCAGCCTTACCTCACTTTCCATTGAAGAATTTATTAAAATCATACAAATGATTACACTCTGGGAATACTCATTAAACACCTGCAAGATTCTATGGGAAATTTTCATTAATCAAAGCCCAGATGTGACCCCATGGCCAAATATTTAGAGACTATTGGAAGAAGGCTGATTTTTCCTTATGTCAGTTACCTGCTCCTATCCAGTAACAAGATTTCTGTCTGTGAGGGAAAAGCAAGAACACTGGATATGTCTGTGGCTCTGAGTGGACCTTTCTAATAGTGCTGACTTTCATCCTATCCTCTGCCCAGGTTGTGACCTTAGTGACTAGCAAATTAACCAGCCTCTGCATGTGAGCTCACGTTTCCTCTTTATGGGATTGTTAAAACAATAATCTAACTGCCTGACACTTAAACAATGGGATATTTTTTAATCCGAAGGGCAGTTGTTTCATTAGAAAGAGCATAAATCTCAGCAAAGTTAAGGTTTTAAGCAGTGGTGAGTTTCACAAATAGTCGTAGTTCCACAGAGCACCCTCATTCTTGCCATTACTTCACATTCATGTCAGGTTTAGAACATTCTCTGGGTTTCAGTTAGGAAAGGGGACTCAGGGGCTAGAGCTCTGATTGGAAATTAATATGTGGAATGTCAGACTTTGATTACAAATGTCACAATTATTTCCTTGATTAGATCAGTTTCACAGCTTCATGTCATTGTTCAACAATTTTATTAAATATCCACTTTATGCCATGTACTATTCTATATGCTGGAACATACCAGTAAATAAAAAGCTAGGGGTACCTACACACTGTGATTTCTGTGGAACTGGGAAACTGTCTATCATAATGGCACCAGAGCACTTACATGTTAGTCCAATTGCTTGTCAGTTCTATCACTGCTTAAAAGTGATAGTAAATTCAACTTTTCTTTGACTCTCAAGAAACAGAAAACATTTTAAATCGGTAATTTTATTACAACAATGACTGGTGTAAAAAGTAGCCAATAGAAGAAGAAAGTTAACATACCCAGAAGATGTAAATCTTAAATATAGGGCATGCTTGTTTATAAATATTCAGTATAAGTAGCTTTTGCTACCTATACTTAAAACTTCTCTCTTTCTCTCTCTCCATATATATATATATATATATATATATATATATATATGAAATACAATAAGTGTACAGATCATAAGTGCACATTCCTTGATTAATACCCCATTTCAATTTTTTTTAAATTTTATTTTTTGGATTACTAAATAATACAAATTCCCAATATTCATAAGACTCAGCTGATGTGTATGTCCCCAGCTTCATATATAGAAATAAATATCAGTTTAAGATAATAAATATTAGATTAAAATATGAAAGGCAAATGGCACAAAAATTCCAGAGCCTAAAATACTGATTTCTGAAAAAAAGTGATAATACTTTACAGTCCAGTTTAGGATGTAGGTAGTGGTCAATTCTATACATGCTGCTGTGTTTCTAAAATCTTGACCTTATTTGGTAGAAAAACTAGAAGAGAAATTGCCCACATGAATGCATGTGTGCACACACACACACACACACACACACACACACATATCAACCGTCCTCAATTCAAAAGGGAATAGAGAAAATTCTGCTCATCTGGTATTCCTCCAGAACCTGAGGTGTAAAACTAAAATAAGATATCCCCCATAGAATCCAAAATTGGGATCCAAATTTACACCACACATGGTGCATAAATTACGTGATGAGAACTTATTGTTAAAATAGGTCTAGGCTTATTAAGTTTTGCAAGCTCTTGGCAGAAATAAAACTCCAGATTTAATCAATAAAACAGAAACTACTATAATCCAGCATGAGCAAAACTCTCATGGACAAATAATTCTTGCCAACGATAACCTCTTATCAAAAGTCACCCAATACATGAAGAAATGATTCTATCTAATAGGCAGTCTATTGGCACAACACAAAATAACATCACAGAACTTGATATAATGGTACAATCTGAAATAGGTTCTTAAATAACTATAAAAAATGAGATTAAAAGGATCGAAGACAAAATACAGAAAATAAACCAAAAAATAATAAGAAGCCATGAATAAACAGAAGAGATTTTAAAAAAACAGAATTTCTATAAATGAAGACTAGTCATTGAAATTTAAAACGTAGGAGATGATAACTAGCAAATCAGACATGGCTAATCTGTAAACTGAGGATAAATTTGAAGAAATCATCTGAATCCAGCACAGAGATATAAGAACTAGAGCAGTAAATCTCAAAGTGTAGTCCTCACATCAGAATTTCAGCATCACTGAAAACTTGTTAGAAATGAAATTCTTAAGCTCTGTCCTAGATTTGTGGAATCAGAGATTCTAAGGACAGGGATCAGTAATCTCTTTTAAGAAGCTCTCCAGATGATTCTGATACATGCAAAATTGAGAACTGTACTAGAGAATATAAAAGAGAGGTTAAGAGATATAGAAACATAGAAATTGTACAAAATACTTTAAATATTCTAGGGGAAATTAAATAGGATACATTTAAAAAGAAGCAATGTTATAAACTATATGGCTGAGAATACTACCAAAATGAAAAAGGAGAGAGCTTTCAGATTGAGAAATAAAATGAGCCACCAACATAATAAGTGAAAGCAAGTCCAATTATATATATTATAGTAAGCCTGCAGAGTATCAAAGGCAACGATGTTATTTTAAGGGCAACCAGAGGAATTTGCTATCAAAATAGTGGTGTAAAGAGTATAGTGAACCACATTCCCAGTAGAAAATAAAAATCATTTAGTGAGTGAGTATTTTTTTAAAACTAACCATGCAAAGTCTTTGGAAATTGTCATCTGGGTATACAGTAAATGAACAACCATTTATTCAAGAAAATCTACTAAATGTATGTAAGAACAGCAAAAATATGTGGCACTTAAGCCGAAACTCAGTACCATTTCTATCCTGCCCCTCCTAGATCTGTGTGATGAAAACTCTAGTTCAGTCATTTGAAGACATGGGGCTTCCTCCCTACCTCGCTCTCAGTCAAGGGTTACAGTTTTACTCCAGGAACAGCATGAACATGTCATTCCACTCCAGCCCTGAATTGCAGAATCTCTATTCTGGGTAGCCATGAGTGGGAACACTGATCTCCTTTACCTTCCCCAACACCCACTCTAATGGCAGAAGTTATGCCCCAAGCACAACAGATCGAGGAAACTGGAATCTATAACAGCCCTGCCCAACTTGCTTAGGGTAGAGGTTCAATGTCAACAAGGACAAGTTCAAAAGTTCAGGATCTATTTCCCTGCCCAGAGTACCACTTGTTGAGTAGAGGTGTCACCCTAAAAGAAGTGGGCCACTGCCTTCACCATCAGCCCAGCTAAAGTGGCACAGA
Organism: Homo sapiens; assembly: GCF_000001405.40. Taxonomy (NCBI): domain Eukaryota; kingdom Metazoa; phylum Chordata; class Mammalia; order Primates; family Hominidae; genus Homo; species Homo sapiens. The sequence goes on from NC_000010.11 coordinate 106,162,242, forward strand.
AGTTCTATCCAGAGGAGAGGCAGAAAATAAGAACAAAGAGCTCAGATCTCTTCCTAAATGAGTTTACTTAATTTGGAAGAAACTGTGAGTTCATGACTGAGGGCATTGTTGAACACAATGGAGATCACCAAATGAGCAATTAAGAAGAGACTTGTAGCTCTCTGATACCCATAACAAAAAGCAAAATTGTAGATGAGATAGATATTTAATAGAGAGAACCAGAGAATAAGATAAGAGCCTTCATGGGTTCAGAGCAGCCTTCAAGACTGGAAAGATCCTCCCCCCGCAGAGGGGCCTTACTTTTAACTGGATCAAACTGTGGAACAATTTATGCCTCAAAGCATTGCTTCAAAAAAATAGAACAATTAGAAAGCAATTTGTGGATGCTAAAAGCTAGGCATGATATTAATAGAAGCAGAATTTCCCAGGTGCTCAGAGAGATTATGTAGGCCAAGTATGCACATTCTGAGAAGAAACATCAGAAGCTATACACTACTGGGGAAATAGAATTCACTGAAATAGTCCAGTCATCTCACATTACTAAACAAATAGACACACAAACAAGAACAAACAAGAAGTGCCAAAAGGGGTGAGAAAGATAAGAATTCAGAGTTGCTACAGTATATGAAGTAAAATATCCAGTTTTCAATTCAAAATCATGAGACATGCAAAGCAACAGGAAAGTGTGAGCCATATACAGGAATATTGTCTGCTTTGTAGAGGCAGACGATAAAATCTGCCTCTAGGAAGGCCCAGATGTCAGATTTAACAGAATAAAAAGAACTGAGTCAAAGTATCCCTTATAAATATATCAAAAAACTAAAGGGAACCATGCTTAAATATGTTAAAAGAAGCTATGATGACAATGTTTTAGCTGAGAAGATTATAAACATAGCCACATGTAAGTTCTGGAGTGAAAAGTTCTATCATCAAAATATAAAATCCACTAGAGAGGCTCAACATTATATTTGATACAGTTAGCACATTTGAAGATAAATTGATAGAGATTATGTGACCCAAAAAACAGAGAGAAAATCAAATTTTAAAAAATGTATAGAATCTCAGAGAAATGTGGACACCATTAAGCATACCAACATATACATAAAGGGTGTACCTGAAAAAGAGAAGAGAAAGGAGCAGAAAAAAATATTTTAAGAATAATGAGTGAAAACTAAAAATTGATGAAAAAATGATCTGCACATCAAAGAAGCCCATTGAACCCCAAGTAGGATGAATGCAAAAAGATCTACCCAGGTATATCAGAGTAAGAATGCTGAAATCTAAAGACAGAAAATACTGCAAGCAGCAAGTGGAAAATGACTTTGCTTGGACACAGGAAACTTAGTGAGATTAAGATCTTCTCATCAGGAATAATGGCGACCAGGAAAGAGTGGGGTGACATATTCAAAGTACTGAAAGAAGAAATAAAAAACAAAAAAAAGCTGTCAACCAAGAATTATACATCCAGCAAAACTATCTGTAAAAATGAAGATGAAATAAATATATTCTCAGATAACAGAAGCACTGAGAAAATATATTCTTAGCAGACTCATCTTACAAAAATACTTAGAAATTTCGTCAGGCTGAAAGTAAGTGATCCCAGATAGTAATTCAAATCTGCATGAAAAAAGAATGATTATTGGTAATGGTAACTGTGTAATTTAAAAAGATAGTATAAATGCATGTTTTGTCTCTTTTCTACTCTCAACAGATTGATAAAATATTGTCTAACACAATTTGTATATAATTGTACTTTTTATATTGGGCATATACCATGCAGAAATCTAGTATACAGACAGTTCCTAACTTTTGATAGTTTGACTTATGATTTTTAGACTTTATGATGGGTTTACTTGGACAAAACCCCATCCTAAGTTGGGAAGCATCTGGACTTATGATGGTTCAATTTATAAATGTTTAATTTCATAATGAGTTTATAAGGGTATTAAATGCATGTTTGACTTACAATGGGTTTATGGTACAACCCGTTGTAAGTGGAGGAACATATGTATTTGACCATAACAGCACAGAGGGGTCAGGTGGGAACAAAGCTGTATTGAAGTATAAAATGACATCAGTTGTCATTTGAATCCATAGGAACAAAACAAGACAACCAGAAACAGAAAATAAGAATAATAATATAGCAAACTTTATAAATATATACTTGATCTTCTTTCTTTCCTGTTTTTTATAAACATAAAAATATATAAAATATCATTTATAATGTGTTTTTATATTATAACATATAAATATAATATGTAAAATGATAATAGCATGAAAAGAACATGGAATTGAGATGTATAGGAATAAATTTTTATATTTCATTATAATTAAGTTAGTATAAATCTGAAGTAGATTCTGATAACAAACATATGGTAAGCCCTAGACCAATGACTAAGAGAATAAAAAAGTGAAAACAAATGTCAAGTTATTAAAACATTACACCAGAAAACCTCAGCTTAACACAAAAAAGTCAGTAAAAGAGGAATAAAATAGGAGGAAAACACATGAGACATATAAAACACAAAAAGAAAAATGGCAGACCTAAACCCAATTATATCAATAACAACATTACATGCAAATGCATTAAGGGCAGGGTTTTTTAGACTTTATGCATTAAAAAAAATTTCTGACAATATTCTGTTCTCAGGATGGAAAGATACTTTGTATCTTTAGATTCAAATATAGAAACAGGTTGACTGTAAGAGGATGAAGAGAAATATAGCAGGCGCACAGCAATTATAAAAAAACTGACCTATACTAATACCAGGCAAAATAGATTTTGAAACAAAAATATCAATAGAAAGATATTTTATAATGGTAACAGCATCAATAAATCCAGAAGGAATAACAATTATAAATAAATATACACGTAACAACACAGCCCCAAAACTCATAAAGTCTATAAGAGTTGAAGGGAGGAAGGGACAATTCAACAATAGTTAGGTATTTTAATATTCACTTCAATAATGGATAGAACTAGAGAGAATAACAAGGATATAGATGACATGAACAACACTGAACCAACTAAATCTAACAAATATCTATACAGCACTTCACTCAGCAGAAGAATACACATTCTTCTCTGGTACTATGTAACATTTTCAAAATAGACAATATGCTAGACTATAAATCAAGCTTCAGTAAATTTAAACACATTAAAATCATATAAACCATGTTTCCTGACCACAATGATATTAAATTAGAAATCAATAACAAAAATAAATTTGGGAAATTCACAAATATATGGAAATTAAATGACACACTCCTAAATAACCAGAATCAAGGAAGAAATCACAAGGTAAACTAGAAAATTCTGAGATAATGGAAACAAAAATACAACATACAAAAACTTAAACTTATAAGATGAAACTAAAATAGTCCTGACAGAGACATTTATATCTTTAAACATCTATATTGAAAAAAAAGAAGAAATCAAATTGATAATCTATTGCCATAAGAAATTGGGAAAGGAAGAACAAGCTAAACACAAAGCAAGCACAAGACAGGGAATAATTAAAATAAGTGTGTGAACAAATGAAATAAACATAGAGAAAATCAACAAAACAAACACTGGTTATTTTAAAATATTACTTAATTGACAAAAATTTAGAATGATTAAGAAAAATGATAAAAGGTTCATATTTCTAAATCTAAAGGCTGAAATATGTTTGGAACTGCTCTGATTGGCATACAGTTGCAATACTCTTTCCTTATTATTCCTTTATTTCTGTGTGTTTGGTACTGGCATTCTCTTAATCAGTACCAAACACACATAATTTGAAAGAAATTAACAAATAAAGTATATCTGATGCTTTACACAAATAAAAAGTAAATATAAAAATTAAGGAGATTAAATTAATAATTTCAATACTTTTCACAAAGAAGAGCTTAAGATTCAGAGGGCCTTCTTGGTAATTTCTACCAAACATTTGAAGAACAGCTAATACTAGATCTTCACAAACTGTTTTTAAAAAGGAAGAAATTGTCTATGAGGTCAGTATTACCTTGATATTAAAACCAAAGACATCATAAGAAAAGAAATCTACAGGCCAATACTTGTTATGAATATAGACACATAGACACAAAAAATATTGAAAAAATATTGGCAAACCAAATCCAATTAACACATAAAATGATTACACTCTATAACCAAGTGGGCTTTATCCCAGGGTTGTAAAGCTGGTTTAATATCCAAATGTCAATAAATATAAAACACCATATTAATATAATAAAAGGAAAACACTATGCAATCATCTCACTAGATACATAAAGGTATTTGAAAAGAAATACAATCTCATTTCATGGTTGGAAAAAAATAAAACACTCAACAAGATAGGGAAAAAAGAGAACTTGCTCAACCTGATAAAGGAAATCTATCAAAACTCACAGTTAATCTCATATGTGAGGGTGAAAGATTGGATGCTTTCTCCTAAGATCAGGAATAATACAAAAAGTCAACTGAGATTATAACAGATGAGAACAAGGACACAGACATTACTTCAAAATGATATGATTGTCCCTAGAAATAAAAGAAAATTAACTTTAAAACTTTAAAACAATGAAGATATAATAGTGAGAATATAATATATATAAAGCTCTTAGCTTTTTATATTCCAAAACTCTAGGTCATAAAACAAAGTCTAGAACCAAAATCAGGAAACTATAGAAATTCATCATAAAATGTGTAAAAAGTTCAAATAAATGGAGGAATAGATTATTCATCTGGTGGGAAGAAATAAATATATCTAATATTTTCAAAATTCTGCAAATAATATATATGTACCAAACATAATTGAAATCCTGATGACATTTTTTACAAAGTTATCTTACAGTTTACCTTAAAAATTTCACCTATGAACTTTAGAAGATTTGAAAAGGAACACTGAGGGAGTGTTTGCTTTAAATATTAACACTAATATTAACACTATTGTATATCTTTTCCGACATTATGCCTAATAGAAAGATGTATCACTAGATTGTATGTGGCATCTTTATTTATTCAGTGAATAGAGCCAAACATTTCAGAGTACACACTGAGACTGACAAATCACCTTGAATGCACTTATCATCTTCCTTGGGAGAGTAATTGCAAGGGGCTAGTCCTCACTGTCTGGAGAGATGTGTATAAGATGTCCCATGTTTGGGGGATTAAGTGGTTCAGGTAGAGTAGGGAGTGGTTCTTGGCCTGTAGCAGGCTTGGTGCCAAATCCATAAGGTCACTGCAATGTCAAGGCTGGTTTGCACCTAAGAAGTGGCTGTGTAATGGCGAAGACATCTAAAAGTATGGATCTGGTGCCTAAGCAAGATACTGAAATATCTTATTCCTTTAAAGAACCACTCTGAAGGACTCCCATCAGTAACAAAGGTAGCAGGCACAAAAAAAAAAAAAAAAAAAAAAAAGACCTGTACTTTGCCACATCGCTGTAACCTCAGCTTTCAAGACTGTTTTCCTGGCAAGGTCAGTTTATCCCCTTCTAGCTCAAGTCTTCTATGAACAAGATTTCTCTTCATACCTGGAGAGAACATGCATGCTATCTCCACGTTTCTCTCCATGCATCACTTCATGTTTGGGAAGTTCTTGTTTTCTACCAGGGAACCTCAAATGTACCACAGTTTACACTTCCCCATGCTGAGTGGGCTATGCCTTGTTGTCCAACAGAACACCATAGCCAGAACTCTACCATCTTGTTCCCATGAGATAATAGAGATTGTGCCATTCTGTCAAAAAAAAAAAAAAAAAAAAAAAAAAAACACCTCACTAAGTGTCAATTAACCCACTGAAGCTTTCACTTAAAGACGCCTGGCCTTTATGGCTGGGAACCTTAGCTGCTGAGGGAGATGATACCATTTTAGCATCCATAGCTGGGACATGGCCAGAACTTGATTCATCTACTGTACTTCAAACAGGATGTGCCAAGGCGTTTTTTAATCTCAACCACAATTCAAGGCAGAGAAAACCTGAACACTCCCATTCCAAGAACTTGCAGACACTGCAGAACCCCTGACTAAATAACCAAAGATTGAAATCTAGGGGTGGATGATTTTCTGAACTGGAGACTATTACTACCAAGTTAGAGGTCTTTAGAATTTGTACACTTCTACCATGCACATATAAAAATATGTCTTCTGAGTTTTCCATGAAAAGATAGGGAACCAGTGTTTATATGACATACCTTTAATATGTGTATTCTCATTTAATCTCATAATATTTCTATATTGACAACTTAAGTTTTAACTTTCTCTTTTGGTCATATTAGGCTTTCAGGTTTAGGAATGCTATTCTTAAATGCTATTTTGCATCCGCATCAATTTCAGTCCTAATATACACACTTCTCATTTTAGAAAAAATATCTATTTTCAAAGAAATTAAAGCCAATAACTTTGTCCTGCAATTCATAAATTCTGAGAACTTCAGTGAAATTTCCTTGTTTGCAGATCTCCGTATAAAATGTTTGTCAAATGCTCCAGAAATTCTTTCCTAACTTCCAAAGTCCCAAAGAAATAAAAAGAATATTGGCAACAAAAATTTAAAAAAAGATTTCCCCCAGAGCTTTTGCATCCTCACCTAGTTATTTGGTTCAGCCCTGAGGAGGATGCTCAACATGTCTGGGGGTAGAGGTCTCTGACCACATTCATTGGAAAGGACCTGATTAGACCTTCTACTTTTGAACTGTTTTCAGTGGTAGAAAGTTTCCCTTTGTCTTGTGTTGAAATTAACTTCCTTGTTCTTCTTTGTATGAATGTGTCCTCTGGAGTGCTAATGAATGAACTGATACAGTTTCTTGCCTCTGAGTTGCTGTAGTTGCCTTCTATCCCAATCTTGCATATTACATGTCTTTTGTATAGTGACATTTTGAATCTTTCCCTGCAATATTTCTCCCTTACCATTGGCCCAGATTTGGTCACGCCACTACACCCTATCTGTGGCATCAGATGATAGGATACAACTCATAAAACCAGGTGATGCTTTGGGGGCTTTTGTAAATATACCATCAAGTCGTAGACATTGCCAGTAACCAATTCAAGCTATTTCCCTCTTCACCTTTCCTGCCTGTGTACTTAATCGACTACTACAGCCTGAAATATTCATGACTTCTTACTCATAGAATCATTGATCACGTGTGATTTCCCGCAAAAACAAGCAGGTTTAAAGAAGCAGCTTTGTGCCAAAAGTTTGCAGAGTAAAGACTATTTTTTTCAGTCATTTCACAATGCCCTGAGTTATTGCTGTGGTTTATTAATTCTAACTCTGTTTGTTTGACTTCACCTTTCAGTATAAGTTACTGTGAGTCGGTTTCTGCAAGGTAGCGATATGTTCTCAACTGCTAGTTATTTTCCAGGAATGTCTTTTCTTGTCATGTATTCAATTAGTCATTTTAAAAAACACATTTATCGCTACAAAGCAAGGCTAGAATTAATGCTGATCTGCTTCTTTTTCCTGGATTACTGCATTTTCCAACTGTTTGTGCCTCAGCATATGGCCCCTATGTTCTTTTATTAAGAAAAAAAGAAAAACATTTACATTGGCCATCTTCACTGCATTTTGTTAAATGTCATCTAAAAATTCTATCTGCGCTCTGACCATCACTTGTTCATATTTGAAGTGCCCATCGTATTATTTACTAAGACAATTACCTCAGCATTTGGGATCCTTTTGATCTAAACACCGTCACATATTTTAAAATGTGTTTCATCTTTTTAATTTAGTTGGTTCTGGGACTCAGGTTTTGGAATGCTATTCTTAAATAAATCATAGTTGATGACAAGAAGTCAAAGTTACTTCCTGAATTTGTTTCAGAGCTTTGGAATATGGAAAGCAGAATGCATGCTATATTTAGGGTAGTCTATAACGTTTTCTGTGGATTCAAGTTATTTCTTTCCTCTTGTGAGGAACAAAATTGAACAGTCTCATAGATGGCAGAATGGCCCATGTGTGGTGTGGTCCTATTGCTACAAAAAAAAAAAAAAACTGCTTGAGTCTATACTAACAATATCCTATTCACTTTAACCTTATGTGCAATGACTGAGAGATAACAGCTGTTTCAGTGAATATCAAATGTTGCCCAGAGGAACACATGCATTGCTCTTTCTGTCTATATAGAAATTTATCAGCGCTTTTCTGCCCATGCACATCTGCTGGTGTGCCATGGCTCAAAAGGCAGCAACCATTCTCACTGAGCACCAAGGAGAAGTGAAGTTGGTCTTGGGACTATTTTGCATAGAGTCCTTGGTATGGGTTAGAGACAAACGGATAGACCTCCTGAGATGCTCCTGCCAAGGAAAATCAGATGACAATAACCAGATATTTGTATATCACCTTATAGCTATACTATAGAGAATATTCACAAATATCATTTCCTTTTTGTTTCACTGCAATCATGTGAAGTCAAGTAGTAGACTTTTTTTTTTTTTTTGAGATGGAGTTTCGCTCTTGTCGCCTAGGCTGGAGTGCCATGGTGCTATCTCGGCTCACTGCAACCTCCACCTACCAGGTTCAACTCATTCTCCTGCCTCAGCCTCCCGAGTAGCTGAGATTACAGGCATGCACCACCATGCCTGGCTAATTTTTGTATTTTTAGTAGAGACTGGGTTTCACCATGTTGGCCAGGCTGGTCTTGAACACCTGACCTCAAGTGATGCATCTGCCTTGGCCTGCCAAAGTGCTGGGATTACAGGCGTGAGCCACCACACCCAGCCGACATTTTTTATTACCTGCTCACCACCTTCCCAGGTGTTAACCCTTCCCAGCAGCTTCAACTTCTGCTTGGGAATCTCTATAGGTTCAAAGAAGCTGCTTCCTTCACCCACTCTAGGCTGAAACCCATAACTGAATCTAAGCCAATCCACATGTTTAATTTCCCTGGTCACAGTGATTGGTACAGGCATGGACATGGAACATATGCTGATGCAGTCAGGGTGAATCTCAGGAAATTTTCTAAGCACCCTGGAATGAAGACATCACGTCGTTCACATCACCCATAAATGGCAATGCATCTTACTGTGGAACCTTCTGGAACACATCTTGGGACCATGAGGAATAGCAACCATAGGATAAAGCCGGTATATTAGAAGTCTAAGCAAGGTGTTGGAGAGAAATCAAATCTTTGTAATATTGGCACTTTAGTAAAAGGGCAGGAATAAATATTTTCTCTGGGACTTTGAATTGTGTGAATCAAACAAATTTCTTTATCATAACAATCCATTTAAATTTGGTTTTAATTTACTTAGCTCTGAAAGTGAATTCATATAAAGGGCTGTCTTTGCTGAACTCTCCTACAGACAGAGCCTGAGTCAAAGGTTTGGGAGCACATAGTTAATTTAAGGTAAAATTTAACAAGATGATGAGAGTGGAGAAAGAAATTCAGAGCAGGAGAAAAGCCAGTAAAGGAGGTGTTAGGGTAAGGAATCACAGTAGGAGTGCCACAGTAGGCAGAGCAGGAATGATTAACATTTTTCATTTCAATGTATTTTAGAGAGGTTAAATAGACATCTTCAAACTCAAAGACTATAAGCAGTGGTTATGTCACAACAGTGCTAAAACCTGAGATTTATTGAACATTTACTATAAGAGGATTATGCTAAGTTCTTACCATACAGTATCTCATTTAATCTTTAAAACAATCTCTGGAGATAGTTATTATAATGCTTAATTTATTTAAAAAAATGAAATTCTGGGTAGAGAAAATTGTGTAATTTGCTCAAAGCCACATGTCAAGCATGTCAGAGTTATATCCCAAACTCAGGTCATTCTGACCCCAACACTCCATGCAACACTGCCTCCTACCCAGCCACAAAAGGTAAGCCAGCAAGGGAAGGAGCGGTCACCAACATAAGGAAACACTACCATTATTGAAAGAAACACATCTCTAAATTTCCTAGGTGAATTTATAATCTTATTTAATTTTAAAACAAAGATGTCCTACTTTCTCAAAGATTCAATTTTATCTTTCAGTAAGATGAAAGGGTTCAACCATAGTATCTCTAAGAGCCCTAATAATTGTTAGATTATATAATGGTCTGATACAAGCTTTTCAAATGCAAATATAAGTGAGTTTTAAAACATTGTCCATATGTAAGTGCATCTGAGAATACATTTTATTTAATACATAAAATTGCAATGTGTATTTGGGTATTTTCAAGACGAGGGAAAACAAGGGCTATGTGTGGAACAATCAGATATAAACACAGATTAATACAATTCAGTCTTTCAAGGACATTTATTGAGTATCCCCTTTAGGTCAGGTACTATGCAGCCATTGAAATATCAGTCCCTGGAAGCAAATAAAAACAAAAAGACACCTAAGAGTCGTTGGCAACCAATTTCATGCCACCCAACAAAGTCTCTTTTCTTGAATAGGATGAAGGTAGTGCAGGCCGAGAACAGAAAAGATAAAACAAATAATCTAATTCTAATTTGCACTTCAGTTTTTGCCAAATTATAAAGCTGGTTAGAGACTTATTTAGGATATAAAAATTTGTGTGAAAGCCTCTGAGCGCACGCACACATACACACACACACATATACACACACACACACACACACACACACACAGAGGCATCTATAATATGGCAGCATCTCAATATGGTTCTCTCTAAGGAGGCAGCATTAGCTGGTGGAAAGAACAATGATTTGGGAATTAGGCAGATTTGGAAATAAACCTTCCCTCAACCATTTTCTAGTTGGGGAATATCACTTTACCTTTCTGAGTGTTCCTGTCTTTTGAATGACTTAACTACAAATTTGTCAACTAGGGTTGATGTATACATAGTTCCTGGCCTAGGTACTCAAATAGATTAATAATAATAAGAAGAAGAAATAGTTACTATTCATTGAGGTATTTTTAAAATCATTTACAGTATGGGTTTTGAGAAACTGTTTCCTTGAAAAATAAAATCCCCACAGCCTAAATCACAAAGGAAATTAACAGTTTTAAATGTCACAAATGATTGTACATAATTAATGACCACTGGCAAGATTTAAAAAGAAAATCTAATGTGAGTGAGTGATTCTCCCTGGGATCCAAAAATTACTTTTAAAAATATTGGTACGCAAGCTAAATTAACTTAAGTATAGAGACCGTTTTTCTATTTTAGCATCTTTTTTCCTTTGCTTTAATAGAATAAACATGTAAAAATAAAGGACTTAGAAAGCATATTTTTCTGAGTTATCAAACATAGCCGTTACAGTTTTAAATTGCTGAGCTCAAAGGCTGAAGCTTACATTTTGGAAAACCATAAATACTAAAGCAAAGTCTCGATATGCCTATATCATTTTACCTTAGCTTGTGTTAGTTCTTATTATCAGAGTTCAAACAGTTGTATAAAAGTGTGTCCAAGAAATTGATGTGATATTGATTATCTATTTTTTCCTTTTAATGTTGATGATAAACTCCATTTACAGTTATGTGATTTGTCTCTCTGTAACTCTTCATGAATTATGTTGTAAAAATTTTGTTGTATTGTTAATGCTTGTATTAAACCTAACTTTTTAATGTATTTATCTCTTTTCTCCTCAATAAGATTATAATATTATTGGTAAAAGATTCTGTGTTATGCTGTTCCCCTTTGTAGCCTCTGAGGTCAGGTAGCATATATTCTTTGTGTACAGCAGGAGCCCAGTGTGTAACATATTTAGGGCTGGGCTGATATTTCGCTCATCTCTATATTCATATTCATCTCTTTATGCTGATTTGTGTCTGCTTTATAACTCCTGTTCTTCCATTTGACTCCTCTATCATAGTCTCTGTTTTATCAGATTCCCTCCTCATTTTAAATCAAATCAAATCCTTCTGTTTACTTTCCACTTACATTACTGCCTGCAAGTGTCTATCAGGTATACTTATACCTAGATTATTTATGCCAGGGCTGTAATGCTTTTCACAATACCATATGCATCAAAGATGTTTCCCAAAGCAAAACTCCCATTTTATCGCATCTACTCAATTTTGCAAGCCCGTAACTCCTCCCAGTTGTCATTTCCACAATAATACAAGGGAGGACATTGTTTGTATAAAAATTTTACACAGTGCCTCTCTCTGTCTAGTCCATTTTTTAGTTAATCAAATTTTTATTTTATTCTATTTTGCCGGTTCCTTGTAATCATTACCCACTTCACATTCTTCTGTATTTGAAATTTCTACAGGCTCCACCTCCTTTCATTCAAATTGAGTTCATTTTATACATGAGCTTTCCCTCATGGACATTTTAATCAGCTGCTCCATGTACCAAGAAAATGCTTTGAAACATAAGCAGACTGCATCTCTAGTAGAATCATTAGTAGAATGTAGAATTTGTTGCTGATTTATCTCTACCTAGGTAAAAGGCAGAGATGTGGATTGTAACAAATCTGTTACCTTACTCTAACCTGTCTTAGTGACAACCAGTTATAGTATGACTTGCTTTTCTTTTATATACATAAGGGGGTCAGTGAGGGGCGAGATCTCTAATATTCTTATTTGTAGGCACTACCCAGTGTGCACCTAGCAATTGCATGATATAGAAAACATATCATTTTCACTACTGAAAAACTCTTTATTTTATAATTATTCAATGGTAAGAAAAGAGGCTTTATAAAATTCTGACTAAAAAACTAGAATGTAGATCTATGGAACTATTTTTGGGGGATGCTCTCTCTGATTTTTAAGAGTTCAATTTCAAAGGAAGTGTCTCAAGCAAAGGCCATATCTCTTTCCTGAAACAGCTTCTAAGAAAGGCAGTGAAAGCTGATAGGGAGGACTTGATCCTAGGATCTAGCTGCCAGAGCCTTATCTTTGTGCATCCACCGGCCAATGAATAGGACATCTCCCAGGGCCAATATTGAACTTAAAAAAGGACTGAACATCTGTTGTCATGTTGCTAACAGACTCCATGTACACTTGGTTGAGAAGGAGATCAAGACTGTCTTTAATATTAACTATTTTTGAATTTAAAAATTTGGGGCCAGGCACAGTGGTTCATGCCCGTAATCCCAGCATTTTGGGAGGCCGTGGTGGGTGGATCACAGGTCTGGAGATCAAGACCATCCTCACCAACATGGTGAAACTCTGTCTCTATTAAAAATGCAAAAATCAGCCAGGCATGGTGGTGGGCGCCTGTAGTCCCAGCTACTCTGGAGGCTGAGGCAGAGAATTGCTTGAACCCAGGAGGTGGAGTTTGCAGTGAGCCGAGATCGCGCCACTGCATTCCAGCCTGGGAGACACAGCAAGACTCCGTCTCAAAAAAAAAAAAAAAAAAAAAAAAAAAGGAAGACGTTCTCTAGAAATATGAATATCCAGATGTGGTTATTAGAAAAGCCCATTTAAAATTATTTTTGTCCAAAAAAACTGGGGACATGTGGTCACTGCAATCACAGCACACCAGTTCTCTCCATAAACCCCATCCTCTGGGCTGCGCCTGTGTACTTCCTAAGAAGAAATACTGAATAGAGGTGCCTCAAGACTAATCAGATTTAGTAGGGACAATCCGCTTTGCTGTTCATACTGAGAACAAAATCAGACCTAAATTGACTGATCCAGAATTAAGGACTTTACAGATTTACAATATAAACAGTGACATCTTGTAAGGGATCTATGCGATACATTTAACCATACTAGTTTTCCAAACTGCATTTGTGAATTCACTTTGTTTTTTGGGAAGGTTGTTAACAATGAAGGTTGGTTGAGGAAGATTTCTATTTTGATGTATCTTTATTAAAAAGGCTTGAATTTAGACATATCGAGAGAGTGCCACCTTGTGGGTAAAAGGCAGTAAAGTCAGATGGAGAAAAACATATCACGTGTAAATTTTCACTATTTCTGATTGTTCTCTTTATATGTAACTAAGCCTGACAACCCAAATATTTCTTCAATCATACAGAGAGAAAATTATATAAAAGTGATGCAAATTAATCTAAAGATTTCAGAGAAATATTCTGTTTCAATATTATTATACAAGAATAGTGTGTTTCAAAAATATATGTATATACACTGTCATATACGTGTGTGTATACGTGTATATGCATACTTTTGCTGCTGGTGTTCATAAAATATCAATACAAAAAAACAGCAAACCATTTGAAGATAGAAATATTAAATCTACCTTCACATTTTGATTTTTTGGCTCATCCTCAATTCTACACAATTATTAATTCTCAGATGCATGGACTAAAAAACTCGGCATAAAAATTAATTTCTTGATATCGAAGAAAAACAAGGTTATGGACAAAATACAGTACTGCAGCGGGTTTTCATTGATGGCAACCTCTTATTCCATGCACCGTGTTAACATTATGCAGCTTTAATGCGGAAATGGAATACATCTCATTTCTCAGGATACCTGGTTTGAGCCAGGCTTTTTTTGTTTGTTTGTTTGTTTGCTTTTTGAAACGGAGTCTCGCTCTGTCACCCAGGCTGGAGTGCAGTGGCGCCATCTCGGCTCACTGCAAGCTCCGCCTCCCGGGTTCACGCCATTCTCCTGCCTCAGCCTCCCGAGTAGCTGGGACTACAGGCACCTGGCTATTTTTTTTTTGTATTTTTAGTAGAGACGGGGTTTCACCGTGTTAGCCAGGATGGTCTCGATCTCCTGACCTCGTGATCCGCCCGTCTCGGCCTCCCAAAGTGCTGGAATTACAGGCGTGAGCCATCGCGCCCGGCCAAGCCAGGTTTTTATAATCTGCAAATCATGTGTTGTCATTGGTTCTAGAATGATAAGCCAAAAATAGATCAAAGACAAATAATTTCAAATAAATATCAGCATTAATGTTTATGTCTATAGTTGTTTAAAATTTGTCTCATTTGAATAGCTAGAGTTCAATTCCTTGACTGCTTTGAATTGTTCAGAGGAAAGATTTGGATACAAGGGCCTTTTAGTAATTATTATAAAGGAATCAGTTTCTTCCTGGTTTACCAACTTTTTTTGAATCTTGATGAAAGAGATAGTGAATATGTCAGCTGAACTCTATTTCTAACTTCAGATGAAATGAACTGTTCATATATAAAGCTGATTTGTCCTATAAAACTGCTGGTTTAGTTCTTTATTTTCAAAATGTCTATGTTCACGTCCTTTCCTGCCTCATCCCCTGACTCTGAGCCATTGCACATCCATGTCTCCATCTGTCCCAGACAAGTCTCAGAGGTATATGTCACAAGGGAGAAAGTCAGAGCAGGTGGTTTAGTTAGGAAACACCTTCCAGTCCTATTGCTATTTCTCTTTTGTTTCTTTCCATCTCTTCCATGAAGCCATTCTTGACTTTTTCATGCTCTCCAATCTCCCTCCACTTAAGTCTCCTGTAAATCTTCACCACACAATTAAACCCTTAATTATATAATGTGATATTTGTCCTCTAATTGTTTTACAAGTGTTAGTCTTGTTTTTGTGCTATATTGTGAGCAATTTGGGAACAGGAACTATGTATTTTACTTTTTCTAAATCCTGCACAGCATTCATCAGAGTGCAGGCCTCCATAAATATTTTAAAATAAAATTAATGGAGGATGACAGGGCCTTGGCCTTGTCCTGTTTAATATTTGGGGCAATGACTTAGAGGGCTTAAAAGAAATGCTTTTTGAATTTGCAGATATCCTGAGGTTGGGAGTGAGAACTCAGGCTCTAGTGGGAAAGACAGATATGCATTCATTTAGATTACCATGCATTATCAAATATTAGACTAAATATTGTCAGAAAAATTAAATGGAACTTCCTGGAGGAGTCAATAGATACTGAGAAGCAGCATTTGAGCTACTGAGAGGGGATTCTGGACAAAGATGGCATGCACAAAACAACAGACTAGAGAATGATGTGGAATTGCTTGAAGAATGATGTACTCATGGAGGAAGAAATGCATGTGGGTAGGTGAGACTTGTAATCCATTATTGCACGAGTTACAAATTAAGTATAGGTTGTAAAGAACATTATGTACCTTGCAAAATGGCTATGATTTAGATACATGGATTTTGTGCATTTCAGTATTTCTCTCCTTTCTATTCCCGATGCTGCAAATCTAGTTTCTCCTTCTATCTTTAACAAAATAATATAATAACCCCCTAATTAGTATCCCCGTCCCTAGATTCTTTCTAAATAAATCAGGCTTCCACACGGTTGAGTAATATCATAACTTTACATGAAAACCACTTGTAATTTTCCAGTTCCTACAAATTGAAAATAACCTCCCTGTAACAAACTAACCCTGGCAATAGGACCTTGACTTAAGTACCTTGCATTCTCTATGTTATTCCTTATGACACAGTAAGAAGTAAATTCTCTTGGCTCCCAGAGATATACCCATCTTTGGAAATTATCCACACTTTCCAATTATGCATGCTTTGCATTTTTCTTCAAGTACCCTATTATCGGCCTACCAAATTCTATCTCCTTCAAGTCCCAACATGAGGGAAAAATCCTTCATCAGTCATCCTCGGAAACCCACTAAACCATATGATTTCAATCTCCGTTGAATCTCTCAAGTCTTTGCTTATACTATGAGAACCTGACACGTCTTCTGTCCTATGACTATATAATAGTTATTTGTGTTCTTGTCACCACATAATCACCATATCTATCTCACCTTGTTCTCTCCTTGACAAAAAAAGATGTGGAATATAGTAATCTTTGCAGACCCCAAAGCAGTTGGCATTAAGAAGACCTTGCTCATACCAATTTTTAGCACTGTTTGCTCTTTGGTGACCTGCTGACACAAAGAATGTATTGCAGAATCTGACACTCTATGTCCTCTACAGAACCCACAGTCTAGAGGGGGACAGCTTACTAGGTACATACATCATAAAACAAGGTGGAAAAATGAATTGGGGAATATAATGGAATTCCTAAGTATGAATTCAGTATGGAAGTGGCAAGATTCCACCATTCAAATTGAAATAATGTGGTCAGGTATAGACTTCGAATCTTATCTGAAAGTCTAAGTGGTAAGTGGACTAAAGTCACTTCCTGGGCAATCACATGTAGAAGAATACATTTCATGAAAAGGGATGAGGGCATCCTAGATTTCCAGGGATGGGTGGGTCCAGTGACATTCCTTACCAGGATCCTTAGGCTGCATAAAGAACTGCTGAAGCCCTCTTTAACAGCAGAGCAGTTATTGTTTTTATGTCTATAAAGAAACATATATTTTTTATAGAATATTTGGAACGTAGAATTTTGAATAGTTGCCTTTTTAAAAAAATTTATATAAGCATATTATTTGAGATTATATTACATCATGTTTGAATCCTGACTTTTTTTTTTCCACCAAACAATATATTTGAAAGATTTCTCCCATGTCATTATAGAGTCTTTAAAAAGAACAGCTGCCAGTGCTACACTACATCTTTGCATCATAATTTATTTAAATAGTTGAGTGGGACCACTTTGAAATACATCTAGTTGTGTGTCAAAGGGTAAACAATTAGCTAGGATTGAATGGACAGCAGCTGTTGGGGAAAACTACCACTATGGCAACTACTTAGTTCCATCATCTATTGACCTCAAGTTGTTTTAATGTCATTTATGCCTAATGTTCCTCCCCTTGTATTCTGGAACATCACAAAACAAAACACATAGTGGGGACCTAGGCTGATAGACTGTGTCCTCTTCTGTAGTGAGACAACTTTATTAATGCATTTACTTTCAAAGACGAATAATTCAAAGCAGAGATTTCCCTGAAAAGAGATAACCCCTCCTTTCAGTACAAAGGGCCAGCTGCTTTATCAAGGTGGACTTCAGATAGGAAAGCAAAGGACCAATTCCCAAGGAAGTCACCAGGAAAGTGTCCGTTTGTTCTTAATGACATCAACCCCTCTGGCTCTGAGCTTTTCTTCTCCAGAAGGAAGCACAGAAAAGGAGCATGGAGTGGGCTTTGAGTCACGCATGACTGGGGTCAGCTTCATGAGCAGATTCTTTCATCTCTATCTAGATCTCATTTTACAAATGCAGCTGTTATTAATTTTGAATAATTAATGTGGGGTTTGAAAATAAATAATAACAGCAAAAACAATAATAAATCACCCTTAAAATTGATGAGGAAACAATATTCTTGCACAAAGACTGCAAGAGGCAGATGTGTTTTATAGAATGAAATGCCAGATCTATCTACATGTGGATGATAAGGGAGCCTATTTGTAGATGGAAGGGGGTCAAGGAAAGGCTACCCATAGACACAACCTCAAACCTACCTTAATCATGGATTTTATGATTCCTTTAAAGTCCTAAGATATAATCTCATATATGTCAGATAAAGATATATAAATTTAGGTGTAGAGGTATATATACATACATACACACATATATATACACACATAAGGACATATACACACACACAAAAAATTTAGTACTTAGCCATGAACCATAAGTGCTTTATGTACATTATGTTATTTAATTTAGTAACTCAAAAAAACTATTATATCCCTCATTCTCTAATGAAGAAAATGAGTCTCAGATTTGCCATTGATCTTATATCTAGCCTTTTAAAGCTAAAGACCATATTCTCACCATACTACCAGCGCTACAGCTGCTTTTTTTTTTTTTTTTTTTTTTTTTTTTGAGACCGAGCCTCGCACTGTTGCCCAGGCTGGAGTTCAGCGGTGTGATCTCAGCTCACTTTCCACAAACCCCACCTTCCAGGTTCAAGGGATTCTCCTTGCCTCAGCCTCCCTAGTAGCTGGGATTACAGGTGCCTGCTACCACACCCAGCAGCTGCTACTTTTAATAGCACTGATATTATATTTCTTCTATGCCGCATTATTATCATTCATTATATTATTAGCATCTATTCATTGAGTGTTTGAACTACATACTAAGCTAAGCAATTGATATATGTTATCTCCTTTAAACTCTGTGGTACCCTGTGATTAATGTCTAGTGGATAAGTAGATATCTTGATTATTGTTGTTTACTTGTTTTCCTTTTCTTCAGGAAATTCCTCTTCCCTATTCTTTTGGGGCTACCAATAAAACAGACTTGCTCTCCTAGATATAGGGACAGACAGGAGAACAAATAGCGCAACCAGATTCTCTGTCCCAAAAATATGAATCTTAATAAAATACAAATGAATAGCCAGGCATGGTGGCTCACGCCTGTAATCCCAGCACTTTGGGAGGCTGAGGCAGGCAGATCACTTGTGGTCAGGAGTTCAAGACCAGCCTGGCCAACATGGTGAAACCCCTTCTCTATTAAAAATATAAAAATTAGTCAGGCGTGGTGGTGCACACCTGTAATCCCAGATACTTGAGAGAGTGAGGTAGGAGAATCGCTTGAACCCTGGAGGCAGAGGTTGCAGTGAGCTTAGATCGTGCCACTGTACTCTAGCCTGGGTGAGAGAGACTCTGTCTCCAAGACATAAAATAAAATAAAATATAAAGGGAAATGGAACATAGTTGAAGCCCGGCCATCTGTTCAGAAACACCCGGCTCTGCTGTGGTTTTTACTCTTCCCAACAATGCTCCATTGCTCAATTCCTCCTTTGACTCTGTGAACTGCAGTAAATTATTTTTCATTGCATCCTTAAAAAATGTTTTTCAAATATCAGTCACTTCTATTCCTCTTGCTTGCATTCCAATTACTACTCTGATTCACAGATCAGGCTACTGAAGTTCAAAGACAAAATATGATAGCAATGTTTGGAGAAGACAACTGCAGAAACTCATCCAACTGGCAAGTAAAATTAAAATACATTTCAGGCTGACCCCCAAGCCTGTATTGTGCTGTGCAGCTTTGTCTTCTAACAGTGCTTCTAGCTCTTCTCATGGAATCTAAGTTATTCCCAAAGTGAGGGAAGACTGGATGGCACTATAAAGATGAACCCCCTTTTTATTAGAAGCAGAAGTGCTATTCCTAATCTTCAAAACTTGGTCAGGCAGTCACAACTGCTGTCATCTACAGTGTTGAAACAGGTTGACAGACCACCTGTGGGGCCAGATATAAACTTGGATCCTGAAAATCAAGGTTTCTCTGAGTCAAGGTGGCCAGGGAAGCTGGGGAATCTAGGGAGCTCAGGGCATGGCTATTTACCAGCTTGTACGGAAATATTTCTGTTGTTTTTTTAATAAACAGAAAGACCAGACATAGCCATTCTAGTACACAGTCTGAATGTCAGACCTGGATGGAAGGTGATCTTTGAAGGGATATTTGTGAAGAGAATCGTAGTAAAACACATCGGCATGAAAAACAGCAAAATTGGCTCACACATGCGGCTTCCAGTGTCTATAGGCAGATCTGAAGATTTATTTACCTTGCTCCCCAGTACTGTCTGGGCCCAGGTGAGAGGAAACCTGGTGGGTTTTCCCCAGTGTTGTGAACATCATATTTTCACTCTGTTTTCTACACCTCAATTGGAATGGTATGGAATATTTGTAATTATTTGAAGACAAATTTGAAAGCCATCTACATAGTAAAACAAATGAGGGGAAAATTAGAAAAAAAGAAAGAAAATGTTCCAGAGATTGGCAGTGACTAATTAGAAAGCATAACTAACCTACTGGCTGGCATGTCTGTGTTCCTGCTGGCCTGCAGCCAAGGTCCAAGAGGTAGGGAACCAGGAAAGCCATTGCCTCCAGACAGAGTAGATGCAAGAGAGCCTGCCTTAAGACTTCTGCCTCTTAGGCTGAACCTGTAGAAAGGAAGAGGCTGTTGAAGGTGTGCAGAAGCTCAAACTATCCACCCCAGAGGGAATTTCCTGCCTAAGGCTTTGTCTTAACAAAGAAACAGTGCTTTGTGTCCTGTTTGAGAAAAATATTTCTATAGGAATACACATACCCTTTATGCTACACTGATCTCTGGCAAAATAAATTGTCTCTATATGTTTACATCTATGTATATATTTTTAAATACAAAGTGCTTTCCAATGTCCACATAGAGGGCTTGTGTTGCATAGGCTGAAACTCCCCACGCCTCATTAGGCCTATTTAAAATACACAGTTCTTGCATGAAACAGAGAAAGCAGACTTAAGCCCTGTTTCCTTTCCTCATTCATTTCTCTCTTGGAAATAGCAAATAGCTTGTTCCGGCGTGTGGCTCTGCATGAATTCCCACTATTCTATGTGATTTTCCTACATAAAACTGTTAACTGGAGTCAGAAACTAAAGCAGATGAATTGGACCTGAGGGGATAGCACACAATGTGTTGTGCTCCCAGACAACTTCATTACTTTAATTACCTAAAAAGTATAAATAGTTTGGCAGGGTACGAATCTCATTTCTCAGCCTAAACGATAATAGTTAGCTGGGAGAGATCGTCCCAAATGCTGCCACTTATAGATTGCCTTATTTTTTTTTTTTTCTGAAAGCAGATCCATTGACCTTTATGGGTATGCAGTCTATGCCCTTGAAAGTGGCTGAGGGACTGACTTTTGGACACACAGGGAGTTGAGAATGGATATTTACTAAAGCCCTATTATGTGCCATTCTTCTGTTCAATGAATAATTATGATGTAGCTCCATACCATGTACTGTTCTGGGCACAAGTAACACAACAGTGAAAGGTAGTTGAAGTTCTTGCTCTTATGAAGTTTATATTCTAGCTGAAGTAGGCGCAGGAGAAAATAATCAGAAACAAATACATGGATACACTATTTCTAGATGTCAAAAAGAGGAAAAGGTGAAGATCAGGAGGCACAACATTCCAAGGATATAAAAGCAAATGTGAAAATGCCATAAAGTGGACATCGGCTTGGCCTGTTGAAGGCTGAAAAGTAAGTCTGGGCTGAGTAGATGGGGCTGGCATCACATTTGATAGTTTAGCTCTGCCACTTAGTTTTCATTTTCTACTTTAAAGACTTACTCTCATTTCTCATCTTAGGTTTCCACATCATTACATGTGGCTTACAATGCTTCCATTACAAGGTTTTCTACGAATAAATTACAGAATGTATACTGACCACTTAGTGCTTGGCAAATATTAAAATGAAAATAAATATTAGTTGTCACTGATATTATTATTAATTTGTAATATCTTCCCTGTCTTCCACAGTATACCATACTCCAAACTGAATCATTATTCTAACTATTATTATTATTAGCAGTATTAGTATTATTTTGCAGAGAGGGGTTCTTGCTTTGTTTCCCAGGTTTGTCTTTAACTCCTGGGCTCAACTGAACCTCCGACCTCAGCCTTCCAAAGTGCTGGGATTGCAGGCTTGAGCCATCACGCCCAGCCTAAATGTGATGTTTCATTTTTCAGAAATGCCACCCCTCATCCTGAACTCCATGCACTGAAACATTCATCACCACCCTCGCCATCTTTTCTATCAGCCTGTTCAAAAGTTCCAGATGGCTCTTCAATGACTCTGTCTTCACATTTGACCATATGTTAATTGATTCAATATATGCCTGTATTACAGATCCAAGCAAAGTCTATGTTGCCTTCACCAGTGTTCAGATACACCTGGGTAGGTATTTTGTAGGGTTGGGACTCCTGAGGTCTATTTGCATGGGCCTATATCAGGAAAGTGAAACCCATTCCAGGTAGCCAACTAGTAAGGTTTTAAAATAGAAAACTAGCTACAAACATGTGGGAGGAGCTTAAATACCAAACAGTTGATAAAAAGGTAACCCCCAAATTAGCAAAACTAGAAAGTTGTTATCACCCTTAGGCTACAGGAATAAGGGAGGGAATGGAATTTCCAGAGTCCGAGAGACTGGTTACCTTGGTGGGGTAGAAATGGTAGGAGGTGAGGTCAAGGGGAGATGTCCAGCAAGAACGGGAACCATAGGAGACATGCAGTCCTCTCTAACAACACTACCAAAAACAGAGAAAATGAGAACTAACTCAAGTTTTTCTTTTCTCCCTCTGTTCAAACTCTTGTGAGTGTTCACTGTTGCCCAGACCTAGCTGGAAGCCAGAAGGAGAGGGAGTCCTGGGAAACAGAGTTTGCAGGGGTCAATCCCCTATGATATGAAGCCAAGCAGGGGAAATGCAGGAAATGCACCTGAGCACAGACAAGTGAAACAGACAGCACAGGAACAGACACCAGGACCACCATACCACACACTGCACATCCCCACCTGAACGCTCTGCTGTGATATTTGTGCAGCACACACAGGCAGCTTGGGAGTGATCAGACACCTAGGAAACAACTTGTCTTTCAATAAGAGTCAGATATTCATATTTTCCTGAGAAAGGGGACAATGTGTGATAAGCACACATTGCCAGTCACTTAACTTCTCCCTCCTGCCTGAGCTCAAGGACAGTCTGCAAACCAAACCTGAATGAGCTATTTAACGAATACATTCAAGTATAAGGGGTCCCAGGCAGAACTGCCTTGAGTTGTGGGCAACAGAGTGTGATACAAAGGTATAGCCAAAAGATCTCCCACATTAGCAGAAATTACACTGACTTTTGTCATAATAAGCTCAAATCATTCCTGTAGTAATAGGCCTTAATGCTCTCCATAGTTACTTGATGCACCAGATCTTGACTGCTAGACACCCCAGTTCAGGTATCAGCAGACAGCAACAACAACAACAGCACAGCAAGAAGTCTCGTTGAGTCCTAGCTATAAAGCCCACATCATGATACCTGGACCTAAACATTGACTCACCACACTGAACTGGATCAAGAAGGAATAAAAGGATAGAAATATTAACATTGCTGATGCGATTGTCCATGAGCCCATGATAATACATATCATTTATTGTTATATAAATATGTGCTTTATATAATTCTCTCTTTCATATAATTCTCTCTTTCATCACGTTTGAGACATTGTAGATTCTAAATCACATCCCAATTTCAAAGATGCTGAAATAGAAAAAAATGCACTTCAGAGCCAATGAAATATATGATACATAAAACTAGACACGTATTTATAATAAATAACAATGGATCACTTATTTTACATCAGGCACTGTACCACACATTTTTATTCTCATTAATCTTTATAACAAATATGTGGAGGGAGGTACTTTGTTTATCTTTATTTTACAAATGGTGAAACTGTGATTAGGAAACTTGTCTGTGGTCGCAAAACTATTAAGCTGTGTAGTCTGGATTCAAATTCCAAGCTCATGCTGACATCCATTTTTTTACACTGCTTCTATGTGGATCACTTCCTGAGAGCTTTCAAAAAAGTATTATCTTAGGAAAGATACTAAAAAGAGGATATAGAATATATCTGACAATGTTAAGTAGGAGACAGGAGAATTTAGGCTTTTTGTTTTGTTATTGTGAATCAATAACTACATCCATTGCATACACACACATACACGCACACACAAAAACACACATCACACACATATATACACAGTGGTGTGACCTAAGAAAAGCTGGATTACATGTAGGTGCTTAATCATAATGATGTCTGGGTTTTGTGGGTAGACCAGGACTATGTATCTCTTATCACTATATATCCCATGGCATCTGTTTCAGTGATTTTCATTTGAATACTCAACACGTGTTTTCTCAGTGAGTGAATAAATTAATACATTAAGCATTGTGTGTATACAGGGAATATGGGTACAATGATACTGAGTAAAGAGGGTCTAAGAGACTGTTCCTAGCTCGATTAGGGCTTAGCTAATCAATGTCATCTAGGTATAAGCAGAAAAATATGCCAATTGAAAGGTTAGATCTCTTTTAATTATACTGGGGCACTTGCAAAAAAGGGGCTGTCTCATAAATTTTTCACTAGCTAAAATGATAAAATATTGATTCAGAACTCACAATTAATCCTTATAAGTAGACGAGGCTTTTAATAATTCAGTCATGTCTCTCCATGGTCTTGTTTGTTCCCTCCCCATGGCTGGATAGAAGCTGCTTTCTGAAAAGATGGAGACCATTTTTACCCAACAGCATCAGCTCAGATTCTTGTGATTATAACACAGCATGGTAAATATTAACTAACTCTTAAGTGCTTAGCCTCATTCCCCAAACACTTTCTAAAGCAGAAACACAGGTAATTCTCCTTCCATGTGTGCCTACTTGAAATCTGTTTTGTTTTAGATGTTCAATTGGATACCTTCTTCTTTTGACTTCCAATTAACTCTGACACTCTGAGTTATAAAACACACTACAGTTTTGAGAATGTAGATATAAAATGACACATGGACAGTTTCTCAAAGGGTTGCATACAGGGTCACTAGAGACTTCAAGCCCTGGCTCTGTCATCAAGCTGCTTTGAGAAAGCATGGCACTCTACCAGGCATCAGTTTTCTTATTTGGAAAACGTTGGTCCCCTCAAGGCCTCTTTTGACTTAACTTTCTTGAGCTGAAGTACTACCATTCTATGAGTACAGGTACTTTTGGTTCAAATAAATTCTGTAGAATACACTTAGTAAGAGGGGCAATTTTTTTTTCTTTTTTCTTTTCTTTTTTTTTTTTTGAGATGGAATCTCGCTCTGTTGCCCAGGCTGGAGTGCAGTGGTGCCATCTCAGCTCACAGCAACCTCTGCCTCCCGGATTAAAGTGATTCTCCTTCCTCAGCCTCCTGAGTAGCTGGGACTACAGGCATGTGCCACTATGCCCAGCTAATTTTTTGTATTTTTAGTAGAGAGAAGGTTTCGCTGTGTTAGCCAGGCTGGTCTCGATCTCCTGACCTTGTGATCCACCCGCCTCGGCCTCCCAAAGTGCTGGGATTACAGGCGTGAACCACTGCACCCAGCCAAGGGGGGCAACATCTTAGTCAAAAAAAAATACTTTTCTGTTTTAGTAGAAAAGATGCCAGATGTGAGGCTCTTCTATTCCTGATGGTTTAAGGGTTTCTATGATGTTGTTTTTGGTCCATCTCCAAAGTAAACAAATTCCCATTTAAACCATGTGCTCTGATGTTGTCATCCAGATATTATTTTTCTTTTGTTTTTATATTCTGCAAATCTTAGTTGGCAGACATATCTTAGACCCACAGGGGAAGAACAAATACTATAATATCATTTTTATGATTACAATTCATATCAAAGTAGGGAATTGCATAGATACAGTGTTGGAGAGAAGAAGAGGTATACATTTCAAGTAAGGTCTCTAAATCCAGGAGTTTAAAATGTATATTTTTGATCAAACAGAATCCTCTGGCTCTGTTTCCTAAGTTTCTCTAAACTTCTGCAGTTTCTTCTCTTATTTCCCCTAAAAATATAGTTTATTCCTATTCTTTGGTTTTTGTTTTCTACTTTGAAAACAAACTTTCAATTCCAAGTGACAAGGCAAAGTCACTAGGTGAAGACACTTAAATTTGAGACTCTTTAGCTATAAAGAAGTTTAGAAGCAAGTTGAGGCTCAACTATTTAATTGCCATATATTACTTATTATCTTCTAGAAGTCTGCATTCTTACTTTTTCTTATGGCTTGATCCACTAAATTCACCAATGAGTCTGATATTTTTTGCTTTCTTTTCTTATATACATATAAAATCAATCTTGCTATAGATTGCTGCTTCATGCCTTCTGCCATGTGAGGACACAGTGAGAAGATGGACAACTATGAACCAGGAAGTGAGCCCTCACCAGACGCTAAGTCTGACAGTGCCTTGATCTTGAACTTTCTGGCCTCCAGAAATGTAAAAAAAAAAAAAGTATGTTGTTTATAAGCACCTAGTCTGTAGTATTCTGTTACTGCAGCCCAAATAGACTAACACACTAGGTTTTTAACTGTTGATCTTGTATTCTTTTTCTCGTTCAGCTCTTTATAAATTGTGTTCCACTGGAGATAATATTCTGTAATATATTGATCATGTTCCCTATTGTATCTCTCCTTGCAAAAGTAATACAAGAGATAAACTTGCTAAAAATTATATAACTCGACATTGTCATAAATCCTATCCAACTCTTTCCCATGTAGGTACCCCACCACCACCACCCCACCACAAACACACACACACACACACACACACACACACACACGAAGAACACTCAGTAACATCTTAACAGGAATGTTAGTGTTGTAAGAATACAGTTGGAGGAAGTCACATTGACCATGGTCAGAACACTATGAATTATAGTAGTTGTAGTACCCATCGTTTTCTGGAGTGCTGACCTGCCTGCCAGTCCTTGATTCAAAAGTCATACTTCTATTATATACATCTGGTCAACTCATTCAGGTATACTACTTAAAATCAAAGCCTGCTTCTTTGTTAGTAAAATGAGTACAATAAAAACCTTATGTGGTTGTTTTGAAAATTGAATGGAAGAATACATATAAAAAGCCTGACATAGAGTAATAAACCCTATTGGTAATTGTTGTTATTGCTACAACTATCATTATTGCCATCTGCTAGGGCCTCTGACACAGTGCCATGCTGATGTAGGTACTGCTGCCCTCTGCTGGAATTGTTTCAGCCTGTTTTGCCTCCTAAGACAAATGAAGGTCATTGATCTTTTCACAAAACCTCCCAAGTTCTTGTCAGCCCTTCACCCAGTACTGACCTTCTTAGCGGTTGATGCACTGACCTTGCAAATGCTAAGAGGTAGATAATTAGCCATGCTCTTAACTCATACAGCTCGTCATACCAGTCACTTTAATGTGGGGTGATAAAATTTGTAATTTTTATGAGGCTTACCCTGCAGATCTAAACTATAAAATATGCCATGGAAAGATAGTGGATAGCTGGGGGAAGTGCTACCTGAGGTTTAAAATATGACCCTAACAAATTCATCTCAATTCCACCAACCAGGCTTCAGAATTAAAGAGAATGGGTACCTGTAACAACAAAAGCATCCACAGAAAAATGTCTCTTCTTCCTATCTCTTTATTTTTATTTGTGGTTTAAGACATTTCTAAAAGTAGTTTCACATAAGCATTTACAAATGCCATTTAGATATATCACTTCACATTGGGCCAAACAGTGCATATTTAATGAGTTATTTGCTGAAGCCATTCTCTCTCATTAATAATGGACAGATGGACCACTAGCTCAAATCAGTTTTAATGAATGTGGGCTAAGGCATAGGCCTAAAATATCCAGATTCCTGTATTTACATTTTTCTGATATTTTCACCCTTGACATCATAGAACTTTTTCTTTTTCCTTTTTCTCCCAAAGTAGATTTTTTTCACCTGTCTGCTCACAATTAAACTGTAAACACTCACCAGCTTAATCTGTCCTATTTCCTCTCTTCATATCACCTGAGGATTTAAACATGCCTTATTGATTCTCAATCATGCAAATCTTTCCTATAAACAAATCTATTCATTCAGCTCTGATCAGCAGCTATTAGTAAGCAACACACATTGGCAAGGTAAACTAAACACTGCAGATGAGTTAGGAAAAAAATCACTGATGTGCTTATCCAAATTCTGTGTGGCATGTGAAAATGTTTTTTCCTTTTTTTCCATTATGACAGCTGTCTAAGTGCAAGGTTCTAAGGAAAGATTAAGATGCTGGTGACTTAAAACACGATGACTTGGAGCCCAGTAATGGAAGATTTTTATGATTTCAGATTCCTTTTGAGTTGACAAAACAAAACAAATATTTATATTTAAGTTGATTTTTCAACTATAAATTGATTCTGAAGCAAAGTTCTGTTTTTTGTGGGCTAACACAAAGGAACTCAAGACAATTCCTGGAAGCCAAAAGTTACAACATACCTTAAAGATCACCCAACCAATCCAATTACCCACTGTCTGGCAAAGGGACTGTCTTTCCAGAAGAAACCCACTCCTCCTCTTTCTCTTGCATTGAGTTTTAATTCCTGGGTCCTGATGACATCAGAAAATGATTCTCAGCTACGTCCACCCACTGGAAACACCTGGGTCTTCCTCAGATTAATTCAACCAGAATGTTGTCGAGTTTTTGTTGTTCAAAGTCAGTACCTCAAATTGGAAGCATCAGTATCATCTGAGAGTTTATTAGCAATTCAGAATCTCAAGCCCCTCTCCAGACTTACTGAATCAGAATACGCATTTTAACAGGATTTCCAGGCCATCTGTAGGCACATTTAAAAGATACAGATGCTTGGGTTCCATCCTCAGAGATTCCCATTTAATTATTCTGAGATGAGGCCTAGGCAGTGGTTAATCATCATCATTACCTGGGCAGGTGTTAAATGTAAATCTTATGTGAAGGAATGCACATGTTAATTACTCAGTTTAGCTATTTTATAATGTATACATGTTTCAAAATGTCATGTTGCATACAATAAACATATGCAATAAAAGAAAAATATATAAATCATTGGATCTCACACCAGCTGAATCAGAAACTCTGGATGTGGGGCCCAGGAATCTGTGTTTTAACAAGCAATACAGGTGATTCTTAGGATGCCAGAGTTTGAAAACTCTTGCTCAGGGGAATACGCCAAATTTATCAATATATTCACAATCTATTTCTGACAGTTTTGGGTCAGGGATGGGCTTATAACGCAGACCTCCGCCATTGTAACTATCAGGGATAGATATGAAACTGAATGTGGTAAATTTATTGAAACAAACATTTCTTTTGTCTAAATATGAACTAAGATGCATGTAACTCAAGAGCAATGCCAACCTGCAGTCAACATGAGGAAAGCCAGCCTGAGAAATGAAACTATACCTCTGGTGTCAAGGATAGATAACCCTCTGGGTCTTAACTATTCCTGAAGCTTGCCCTATCTCCTGACTTCCATTTACATAAGCTAATGAATTCCCTTGTAAATTAAGCTGGTTTGAGTAGGCTTGGAACACAGAAAATACTGGTGTTAAAGAATTTCACATATCCAATGGAAAAACTGGGAGAGAATAATGCCTCTGATGAGAGGTTGCATAGCATGTTTTAAAACCTTCAGTAATTAGAAATTCACCTATTTCAATGACAATCCATTCCAATGTAGAAGATGATTACGAAAAATTGCTTATCTCAAGCTGAACCCTGAAAAAGTTTTATTTTGTAATCACGCAAAATGCATATTTCCTCCACTGCACGAATATTATCTTCTTTAAATACATAGCCAGATTTCTTTTTCATTATAAATTGATTTTTTGCCTTCACCATCCTAATTGCTTGACCCTGAGTAACAGGCACTTTATCAATTTATCTTAATTAGTGTCTTGCAAATAAATGATGTATTAAAAGTAGAGAACAGACCATGCAGAGAACAGACCAAACATTCTCTTTCTTGGAATATTAAATTGAAGTGGGCATAATAGAAGTCCCCCCTCCATGTTGCTGTCAACAAATGTTTGTGAAACAGTGATTCTCAAATAGGTAAGTAGAGAGGTTACCAAAATCTCAAATTTTATCCTGCCCCCTCCAAATTGCATACAGCTCTCCCGCCTCTCATGATTACTATTTTTTATAGAAAATCAAGAAAGTTTCCCTCTGTCTTATAACTACATCTGACACTATCACTCTTTTGGATAAATTGTTTCATTGACTATTCTCTTTTTGGTTATTTGCAACTTCATAGCAAATAACCAATACAAACTTCTCTACTTATTTTTAGCTATTCTACTTCCCTAAGGCTTAGGTTTTGCATTTATAATGTGTGAATAAGACCACCTATATCTTAGGGATAGTGCAAGGATTGAAATTGATGATTTTCAGTGTCTGTCATCTGTTCAGTGCTCAATAAATCTTGGCCTAAAAATGATGACATGCAAGGCTTTCATGAACTGACTTTTATGTACTTTAGCTATCTCATGAGCCTTCCTTCAGCTTTTGTATCATGAACTCCAACCATTCTCAATAGGTATCATTTCTATAACTTGCAGATTTGATTTCCAATGACTTAGTTTAGAGCCAAATAGAACACTGGCCTTTTCACATATAATTCTATGCTACAATATCTCTCTATTATGCATTTGGGCTCTAGTTTCTGTGAACCAAAAGATAATACAATTATCAAAATTTCACCTCACCAGACCAAGTCCAGGATTTCAGTATTTTCTAATGTTTTTTATTTTAACTCTCTCATTTAATATATTAATGATGTGTTTTTCCACCATCAATATTTAACCCCTAAGTAGAAGATTAATGGAATAAAGCAGGAGTGTCCAATCTTTTGCCTTTCCTGGGTCACATTGGAAGAAGAATTGTCTTGGGTCACACATAAAATACATGAACACTAATGATAGCTGATGAGCTAGAAAAAAAATGCAAAAAAAAAAATCATGATGTTTTAAGAAAGTTCACAAAGTTGTGTTGGGCTGCATTAAAAGCCATGCTGGGCTACACGTGGCCCTTCAGCTGCAGGTTAGACAAGCTTGAAACAAAGTTTCTGATATTAAGAAGCTTATATTCCAAGTAAAAAAGACAATCCCATTCAAGAATAATGGCAAAATAACATATTAGCAAGTTAGAACATATACATGATAAGAAAATTATACGACAATGGTTAGATATGTACTAAACAGAAATCTAGGTAAAGAAATTTTCAGAGTAGGAAAATCTTGAACAGTAACTTGGAGGAAACTAGTTTTGAGACAGAACTTAAAGTAACCACTAAATATAAACTCATAAAAAGGAGCTGAGAAGAGGAAAGTTTTGCATGGAAGTGCATGAGTAAATGGTCAGAAGTAGGGATAAGCAAGGTTTATATGACAGAAGGAAAGTTGATACCAGCTTTCCAAGCTTTATTTCCCTAAGGTAAGTAAATATTTTCATTTAGGTTCTCTACTTATATTTATCTAAAATCATCAGTGAGTTTGAATACATACCACAAATTTACAGGTAAACCTTCAGCTTATGTTTACCATTTTAGAGATGTCTGGCCTGAATAATTATAGGATTGGTCCACACTAGGAATTTGCATTCCAAAGAAAAATACTGCCAATGTGGAAAAATATTTTATCCAAATCTTTGGAGGTGGAGAAAGGAGAGTAGAGTATTAAAGTAATGATTTAAAAAGACACTTACATGTTTTGCTCTTTGGATTAATCTTCTCTGTATTGTATGAATAACCACAATATGCAATGTACCATCTGGAAAACCAAACACTGGAAACCTGGAGGGCTAGTGTTTTATAAATCTCCTGATTCCAATATTCTCTGGTCTCTAAAGTATTATAAAATAGATATAGAACCAGTGGACTGCCTTTTGTTTTCCCTCTAACTCATGAACTAGTTTCTGTTATGAAACTTGGGCTGTACCTGCAATTCTCCAAAACATCCATATTGAAATCTTTTAAGGAATTACTTTAACATGGTGTAAAAAGGATAAAAGATCTTTTGATATTCAATATTTTTCTTATGAAAAAAGATGTCCTGTGCAAATTTCGACTAACTGGAAGTTTATAATGTATTAAGAATCCTAAAACTCATGACACTTAACAAAATTATATGGCAGTATTAGATAAGAGAAAATAAATTTATTTTCCAATCACTGTAATTAAGAAAATCATTAGGGAAAATGTGGAATTTAAACAAGGACTGGGTAGAAAAAATATTTGGTATGGTTAGAATTGGGTAGGACTTGCCAGGAAGTGAAAATTGCAGGACTAAAAAGACATATTGTTACCTACAAAGATTTTTCATAGATTCCTAGCAAAATAAATTTATGTTAAGTTTGGTAGTCTCCCAGACAACAGTCCGTCAGAATTGCCAACTATAGACTTGTTATATTAGGATTTTGGATTTAGAGCATGTGGTGGTTAATATTATGTATCAACTTGCCTGGGCTAAGGAATGCCCAGATAGCTGTACCTGGTAAAATATTGTTTCTAGATGTATCTGTGAGGATATTTCCTGGAGATACTAGTATTTGAATCAGTAGGCTGAGAAGGTCCAGCCTCATCAGTGTGAGTGGGCATCATCCAATCTATTGAGAGCCCAAATAAAACAAAGAGAGAAAAGGTGACTTCCACTTCCTCTTTCTCTCTCTCTCTCTCTCTTTTTGAGCTAGATCATCTATTTTCTCCCATCCTTAGATATCAGAACTCTTATTCTTGTGGCTTTGGCCTGTGGGACTTACACCACTGCCACTCACCCCTTGTTTTCATAACTTTGGAATAAGAATGGTAGTTATAGTATTGGCTTTTCTGGTCCTCAGGCCTTCAGACTTGGACTGAATGACTCCACTGTCTTTGCTAGTTCCTCAGTTTGCATAATAGCATAGTATCTCTCAATAGATAGATAGATAGATAGATAGATAGATAGATAGATAGATAGAGACAGATAGATAGATAGAGACAGATAGATAGATAGATAGATATTGGAGGTATCTATCTATATACATAGAGAGAAGGAGAAAGAGAGAAGGAGAGAGAGAGAAGAGAGAGAGAGAAGAGAGAGAGAGAGAGAGCAAGAGAGAGAGCAAGAGAGAGCCCTAACAAATACAGAGGGTAAGTTTTGTTTGGCAGCACATTTTGATTGTTTGTATTTATTTATTTGCTTTTGGTTATATTCAAGAACTTTAATTTTTTTTCATCTTGAGTTCCAAATGGAGGCATCTCTTTTTTCCCCCCAAGCTTTACTAAGGTATAATTGACAAATAAAAATTGTATTATTTACTGTGTACAATGTGATATTTTGATATGTATAAACATTGTGATTACCACCATCAAGCTAATTAACATATCTGCCCCCTCACATAGCTATCATTTTGTTTTTTGTGGTAGGTATATTTAAGATCTACTTTCCTAACAAATATCATGAATACACTACTTTACTATTTGCTATTGTCACCATGTTGTACTTTAGGTCTCCAGAACTTACTCCTCTTAAAGCTGAAAGCTTGTACTTTTGACTAACATCTTTCCATTTCTTATGGTCCTCAATCCCTGGTAACATTTTTCTTTCTCTGTGTCTCTGAGAGTACATTCCACATGTAAGTGAGACTATTAAGTAATTATCTTTCTGCCTCTGGGGTATTTCACTTAGCATGATGTGTTCCAGACTCTTCCATGTTGTCACAAATGTCAGGTTTCCTTATTTTTAAAAAATGAATAATATTCCAGTGTGTATGGCTATCACATTTTAAAAATCTATTTAACAATGAACAACTACTTAAGTTATTTTCATATCTTGGCTATTGTGGATAATGCTGCAATAAACATAGGGATAAGGATAACTTTTCCGAATAGTGATCTCACTTTCTTTGAAAATATACCCAGAAGTAGGATTGCTGAATCATGCAATAGTTCTATTTTTAATTTTTTTTTGAGGAACAAACATACTGTTTTCCATAATTGCTGTATTAATTGTTATTTCCACAAACAATGTACACAGATCCCCTTTTCTTCAAATCCTCCTAACACTTTTCTCTTGTCCTTTTGATATAGCCATCCTAAGAAGTGAGAGAGATCTCATTATGGTCTTGATTTGTATTTTCCTGACGACTAATGCTGTTGAGCACTTTTTCATGTACCTGTTGGCCATTTTCCAACAGACATTTATTTTAGAATAGCAGGAATTTGTAGTTTTCTTTCTTGCCCTCATAAACTCTCTATACCAATAATACTATAAAATCAGATTAAGTACATATATCTGCAGAGAAAACAAATTAACAAAGAAATTATCATTTACAATAAAATAGTAAAATCTTTACTAAAGAATAGCTAAGAACAAGAATAGGGATTACTAAATATTAAAATTCTAATAACACATGACATAGATTTCATTCAACTTCCTCAGGTGCTACAAAACCATTTTAGGTTAAGATGTATAAAACTGACTATGTACCCCTAATATAGAAAAAAATGTTGATATAGAAACTCACACTTCCCAATGCAGACTTTTTTTCCTGAATTAAACTTGGACAGATCTATTGCCAAAACTGTCAAATACGTTTTTCAAATAATTATATTAATATTAGTTAATGAATTCATAAATACACAATGATCATAAGGAGCTAAATTGGTAACTGATCTCTAGGCACAGAAGGTCTGATAGTAGGTCAGTCTTATAGGAATCTGGTTTTGTATGAGTGGAAACCTTCTCTTTTTGCAACATTCAGGTACCCAGATTGAAGCCAGAATCTAACTTTAGGATGTTAACAGAACATTGTTGTTATATTTTTTAAAGATTAAATAATGTTTTGTATAGTTTTCCTTTGTTGTTCTTTATTCTTATTTCAAAGTATTTGCTCTTTGTAATGAACAATTATGTATTTTTCTCTACATAACTGTAATACTGTGACTTCTCCCTCTTCAGTTCCAACTTGTTGATATAATTGTTTAATATTCTACCTATCCATTCATAATAGTTTTCTATATACATATAAATGCATGTGTTTTTCCTTTATTATTTTCCTTTTTTGATAAGATTAACTTATACGTTTACTTCATTATGGCGAGTAATCACGGGGTTTACTATCCAAGAAGGACAGTAAATGGTTGTTTAAATTTACACTCACATCAGTAGTCTATGAGAATGCAGCTATTCCTAAGGTTTTTTTTTTTTTTAGCACCAACTGAAAATAATCCTTTCCATTTTGTGAATTTAAAAAAATGGTATATTATTGTTTTAATTTGCAATTATCTATCTACTAGTGAAGTTGGATGTCTTTTCATGGGGTTGTTTGATGTTTGCATTTAATTTCTTGTGAATTTCCTACTCAAATTTATTGTCCATTTTCCTTCTGTTGTTTTTTAAAAACAATTTATAGATCTTTTTATATTAAAGAAATTAACATTTTGCCCATTTTTTGTGATGTCAATATTTTCTTCTGTCTTTTTTTTCCTTTTGACTATTTTTGATAATTTTTTTTTTTTTTTGAGACAGAGTCTCGCTCTGTCGCCCAGGCTGGAGTGCAGTGGCGCAATCTCGCCTCTTCCCGAGTTCACGCCATTCTCCTGCCTCAGCCTCCCGAGTAGCTGGGACTACAGGGGCCCGCCACCACACCCGGCTAATTTTTTTTTTTTTTTTTTTTGTATTTTTAGTAGAGACAGGGTTTCACCATGTTAGCAAGGATGGTCTCGATCTCCTGACCTCGTGATCCGCCCGCCTCAGCCTCCCAAAGTGCTGGGATTACAAGCATGAGCCCAAATTTAGCCATATAAAAATTTTAATTACAATGTCATCTAATCCATCGGAGTTGTTTGTTTTACTTATTACTTTATGGCTTCTTGGCTTTTTGCCCCTCTCCACAAAATTATACAAATATTTTCTTCAAAAGTTTTGTCTTTTATATATTATATTTAAAGCTATAACTCATCTAGTGTGTGTGTGTGTGTGTGTGTGTGTGTGTGTTGCATGTGATATGAGATGAGGTATACTTTTATATTCTTCTAATGGAATAGTTACATCAACCAGGATCCTGGTATGAAAAATATCAAACAGGGTAAAAGTAGACAACTTAATAAAAGGATAATTTATAAGGAAGAGGGCAAGGTTGAGGGAAACCAAGAAACAGTGAAGCATCCTTCTCCTTCATTAGACTTGGAGAGGTAAGAGGAGGAGAGATGTGTTATCAGGACCTTGCAGGAGAAGGCCATTAAATGAATTTATTGCCCCAGGAGAGCAATGAAACAAACTCACAGTCCAACAGAGAGGTACATGGAGGAATATATACACAACATCACTCTGCTTTTACTCTCTAAGTCCATCTCTTTGTTGTCTGTCTTAGGCTGAATTCAATAAGAAACCAGATAACAAGGGGACTGATCAAGGTAGTCCACACCTTTGGTCTCAGTGAATGGTGAGGGTTAGAGACAGGATCCAATATGGCAGGCATTAGTTACAGGCAGCTACTGAGTATTTGAAATGTGGCCAGTCTGGAGATGTTCTGTATGTATGAAATAAGTACTGGATTTCAAAGAATTAGTAGGAAAAACAAAGAAAATGAATATGCAATACTCATTTATAATTGTTTATATTCATTGCACTGAAATGGTAATATATTACTTTTTTTTTTTTTTTTTTAGATGGAGTCTCACTCTGTTGCCAGGCTAGAGTGCAGTGGCATGATCTTGGCTCACTGCAGCCTCTTCCTCCTGGGTTCAAGCGATTACCCTGCCTCAGCCTCCCGAGTAGCTGGGACTACAGGTGCCCGCCACCACGCCCAGCTAATTTTTGTATTTTTTTTTTAGTAGAGAGGGGGTTTCACCATGATGGCCAGATGGTCTGGATCTCTTGACGTCATGATCCTCTGGATCTCTTGACGTCATGATCCACCGGCCTCGGCCTCCCAAAGGGCTGGGATTACAGGCATGAGCCACCATGCCCGGCCTCTTTTTACTTTTTAATTGTGGCTACCAGTTTGAAATTACATATGTGACTTATAGCAGCAATACAGCGGGATAAATGGAAAGTATCTAGTTATTCTAGATTAAATAATCGATCCCTTTTCCACTAAATTTAATGGCCATCTTTTACCTATATTAAATTACTTTATTAAATAAAAATGTTTCCTCAACTTTCTGTTTTCTTCTGCTTATCCACTTCCCTATCCTTATTCTAATCACACACCATTAACATGAAAGGGACTTTCTAATGTGAGGTAGATATAAATGCTTCATCACTATTGACCACATTTTTGTTCCTTTTCTTAATTATTTCCATATATTTATTCTTCTATATGAAATTACATGTGGGCCTACATTTTCTTTTCTTTCCAAAAAATGTCTGTCAGCTGGTGATATGATTCAAAGTATATTTTTAAAAGTATAATTAAATAATCTGATGCTTAATATATTTGGTAGGAAACAACATTTTCATGTTAATTGATATCATGTAGTAAAATGATCTGTTACTCTACTTATCAAGATCTTATTTTATGCTCTTCTATAACTTTTTTAGATTTTATATTAGGTGCCTATATATATATGTATATCTATCTATCTTATTAAATTTATTTTTAAGTATTTTATATTTTTGTGGTCATTATTATAAATACTCTTTTTCATTTTCATTCTTGACATTACTTTTGAATAAAGAAAACTTTTGGAATTTCTAGATTTATAATCAAACATCTAATTAACTTATTAATTCCTGTATATTGGATTCACTTGGATTTTTCTAAAATACAAGCATGTAATCAATTCTTCAAAGTTAATTGTATTTTTTTCATGTTATGAAATATTTTGAATTCTATTAATTGGATAAACATTTGTTAAAGTACTGATTAATAGTGGCGATATCGATCATACCTGTTTGGATCCAGATTTCAGTGAAAATGACTTCAACATTTAGCTTTTTAAGATGATGCTTGCTATCAGTTTGGGGTTGATAAATAGGATCATATATAGGTAGTTTCGTACTATTTGTATTTTACTTTCATTGAATTTTACTTAGATTGCATTTTTGTTCTTTTACATTAATATATGTCTCATTTAATATTTTGTGGATGTTACTTTTTACTTTAAAGACAGTGTTCACATTTTGATAGATTAACACTGAATATTTTTGGCACTCCTAGAATAACCCCAACTTGCTGAGAAGTATCTTATTCTGACATATGATTTATTGATATTTTATCTTGGATTTTCACACCTATATTTATAAATGAGTTTTGTCTGTGGTGTTTGTACTATCATCTATTTTAGGTTTGGTTAAGAAAATTTATGCTAACCCACAAAATTAATTGGACTTTTCTTTGGTATGGACCTATAAGAATTATTAATCAGTTTTAACTAAATTTTTATGTAACTCCTGAGGAACTAACAAACTCATCTGAGGTTTGCACTTTTTTTTTTGAGACGGAATTTCGCTCTTGTCACCCAGGTTGGAGTGCAATTGCGTGATCTCGGCTCACTGCAACCTCCAGCTCCCAAGTTCAAGCAATTCTCCTGCCTCAGCCTCCCCAGTAGCTGGGATTACAGGCACCCGCCACCACGGCGGGCTAATTTTTGTATTTAATGAGGCATGAGAATTGCCTGAACCCAGGAGGCAGAGGTTGCATTGAGTCAAGATCCCGCCATTGCACTCCAGCCTGGGTAACAGAGTGAGAGTCTGTCTCAAAATAAATAAATAAAATTCAGTTACATTTATTTAACAAATTTCGAAAACTTTCCTTTGATCATTTTTCTGTTCAGGCTTTATAACTTTCTCAAAGTATTATTTATATTTTGTTACAAAATTATCTATTTTTCATAGTTTCAATATGTTTTCAAAGAGTTCTACACAATGGTATTTTTTAACTTTCTATAATTTTTACAGAAATCAGGTTAATACTTTTCATTCTTAATTTTGGATGTATTTATTTCTTTTCTTTAATCAAACCAACCAATGTTTTGAAAAGTAGCTATTTATTGGATTAGATGTAATTTCTCCACTTTCTTATTTCATTGATTTCTATTTTTATCTTTATTAAAACATTCCTCTCAATATTTTGGTTCATTTTTATTTTTACTTTACTAGGTTCTTGAAATAAATAATTTATTCACAAGTTTATTTTTTAAATTTAAAAATATTTAGAGGTACAAGTGTTTCTCTGAGTACAGCTTTAGCTTAAACTCATATTTTGCTATGATTTATTACTTTGATTCACATCTAGATAATTTATAATTCTAGGTATAACATCACTTGAATTAGGAAATATTTATAATATTGTTTCTTACCTTTGAAGGGGTATAATTTTGTTTTCTTGTTATATGTTTGTTTCTTTGTTGTTATGTAATCTGATTTGACTATGATAAAAGAATTCATCCTATAAAGTACCAAATATTTGGAAGTTTAGATTTTCTGTTACTAATTAATTATATTAGTGGGCTTTTCAGTGAATATTTCATCAATTTAAGAAAAGAATATGTATACATGTGATGATCTCTGTGAAAATACTTGATTATATTTCAAATTTTGACTTTTGACTACTGGATGTATCAAATTCTGTAAAATATCTTCCTTTATGTATTTCCCTTCTTTGAGGTTTGGTACTAGAAGGTAATGACTAGTCTATTACTATAGGTTGTATACATTGGAAAAGAAAGCTATTCCTTTATTATTAAATAATGGAGTTAGCATTGAATGAAACATTATTATTAATAAAGCCAGTTTCTATTTTTGCACTTACATAATGTATTACCATATTTATAGTAAATACAAAATATATATTATAAATGAATGCGTGCATATACATTTCGTTTATTTTAAACACACGTTTAATTAAAACATAACATTATTAAGGGGTAAAAATAAAATCATAGTTAGCTAAACTATTACGAAGTGACCATCCTGCTGTAACCACCACCAAAAGAAATGCTATATATTCAGTTTCAAAAACCTCCCTTGTGCCCCATTTCAGTAATTTCCCCCTGTACAACTTTGTATACATACAAGGCAGAAAGACTTTTAGGGGCTTCCCCCGAAGCCCTACTAATACGGTTTGGCTGTGTCCCCACTAAAATCTCAATTTGAATTGTATCTTCCAGAATTCCCATGTGTTGTGGGAGGAACCAAGGGGGAGGTAACTGAATCATAGGCGCTGGTATTTCTCGTGCTAGTCTCAGGATAATGAGTAAGTTTCATGAGATCTGATGGGTTTATCAGGGGTTTCCGCTTTTGCTGCTTCTTCCTCATTCTCTCTTGCTGCTGCCATGTAGGCAGTGCCTTTTGCCTTCTGCCATGATTCTGAGGCCTCCCCAGCCATGTGGAACTGTAAGTCCAATTAATTAAACCTTTTTTTATTCCCAGTCTCGGGTATGTCTTTATCAGTAGTGTGAAAGCAGACTAATATACCTAACAATAACTCTTCTTGTATTCATGCCTTTGTATAAACCCATCCTACTGAGTATGGGTAGGCCTTGTGATTTGTTTCTAACCAAAAGAACACAATAAAGGTGATGAGATGTCACTCGAGCTTAAATTATGTTATATATGACTTCATTTGCTAGCAAATTGGCTCTGCAGACACTTATTATTGGCTTGATGATGTAAGTGATCATGTTGAGGAAACCACAGGGTCAGGAATTGAGGGCAGGAACTCCAGGAAGCCTCTAGGACCTGCGGGCAGCTTCAGGTTAACAGTCAGCAAGAATTGGGATATCTCGATCCTACAATGCCAAGGAAATGAATTCTGCCAACATCCTGGGTACATTTGGAAAGAAATTCTCAGCCAAACCTGCATGTGACAATTCAACTGAGCAGACACTTTGATCTCTGCTTTGTGAGATCCTACACCGAGGACCCAGCTAAACCATGCCTGACCTCCTAACCCACAGAAATCATGAAATAAATAATGAATGTGTTGTTTTAAGCCTCTACATTTGTTGTAATTTGTTATGCAGTGATGATACATAAGTAATATACCCCATTATGAATTCTATCACCGTAAATTTGCCTATTTAGAACTTTATATTAATAGAATCATTAAGTGTATGGTCATAGGTATTTGGCTTAACTCTATATTATGTGCTCCTGCAGGTTTTTGATGCCTTCTTAATACATATAAAATTTAAACTTCATCTGCTTTTTTTCTTTCTTTCTTTCTTTTTTATTTTTTGAGACAGGGTCTCACTCTGTTGCCCAGGCTGGAGTGCAGTGGGCCAATCACAGCTTACTGCAGCCTTGACCTCTTGGGCTGAAGCGATTCTCCCACCTCAGCCTCCCAAGTAGCTTGGACTACAGGCATGGGCCACCATGCCTGGCTAATTTTTGTATTTTTTGTAGAGACCTGGTATCACCTGTTGCTCAGGCTGGTTTCAAACTCCTAGGCTCCAAGTGATCTGCCTGCCTGGGTCTCCCAAAGTGGTGGGATTACAGGCATGAGCCACCACACTCGGCCTCTATTTGTTTTTATGAGTGTTTTGACCTGTATGTCTGGTACTCCACTAGGCAACTA
Source organism: Homo sapiens (assembly GCF_000001405.40). NCBI lineage: Eukaryota > Metazoa > Chordata > Mammalia > Primates > Hominidae > Homo > Homo sapiens. Next base: position 106,203,761 of record NC_000010.11, read on the forward strand.
CAGCCAGTTCTAATTATTTTAGGAGTTCAAGTGTCAAGCAGGAAGATGACAAAAAGTGCAGATGAGAAACACATATTTAATCACCCATCTTCCCCAATTCTCCTCTGTTTCATTTTATTACTAAATTATACTAAATAACAAATTATTCCTTATTTCAAATTTTTTGTTTAACTTTGAAAATATACATATAGACTTATCTTTAGTTTAATTCACAATTTAAATATTTTCTTCAGTTATTTTGGGTGAATGCTACTTACAAATCCTGGTGATAAAAGAGTTTTATTTTGCCACTAGCTAATATGGAGTGTTCTCATAGAGCTATAAATAAACTCAATACTCATTATGCAAATGAATAGAACCAGACAAAATTAAATGGGTTCAGCTTGGTGGCATCGTTTCAGAGATCTAATTTGGGGGTTTCAGTCCTCTAGGCTGAGAGAGCTGTGGGAGCCACATTAAGTTGCTCTTAATAAATAATAAACCATATCAAGCAGAAATTGCATTGAGAGGGGTATGACCTTAGGTAGTTCAGGGGAAGAGTTACAGGGAGATGACACTAGGTGCTGATGATAACTTCTTCATACACTGCTCCACGCCTGAAGGTGACTTACTGTGATCAACTCTTAGCCTTCAGTTTTTAAGGATGAAACATCTATTTTTACTAGCTTCTTTCTGATAATCTAGGAGGTATATAATCTCATCTATTTAACATTTCAAAAGATAGGCAGAGATCAACAAGAAAAGTTAACCAATGTGTTGACCTTGAAACTAAATCTAGGTAAGATTCTTGGCTCTGCCAAACACACACACACACACACACACACACGCACATGCGTGCATGCACATATACACACACAAACCCACACACATACACACACCTGTATATATTTGGGCAGATAACTTCAACTTCCTGAGTTTTTATTTCCTTGTTGATTACAACATAATAATAAGGGTGAGAAGGATGGACCAGATAATCTGATAGGGACAACTAAAATGATAGGCAATATAATTCACAGTCCTGGTTTACAGAAGGGTTAAACTAATGCTAGGTAAGAAAATATAGGAACTAATTAGTGAGTAGGTCTCAGTTTCTTTAATTCAATTTCTGATTTTTATTTTTTTTTACTATGACACTAATTTCTAAGTACATTTGAGCTACAAAAAGTATATACATGATTTCACATTCTTGTCTAGACAACATCAGAGTGTCCATAGAATCTGTAAGATAATTGGCAGCTATATTGGAAAACACAGCTGAGACTGCTGTGGTGAGTAAAATAATTTCATCAATGAATAACCACTTTCGATTATAGATGATATGTAGAGAAATCTATATATTCCGTATTCGTAGTCAACAATGTTAAACCATGAAGAGAGACATCAACCCCTGCCCCAAAGAGAAACGGAAGGATAAATTGTAACAATGTGGTCTAATTATGTTAGAGTCAATCCTCATTGTGAAACCTAAATATGGTCTAACAAAACAGATTTCACAATGAGAGTTGACTCTAACATATTAAGACCACATTGTTACAATTCATCCTTTCATTTTTCCTTGGGGCAGGGGTTGATGTCTCTCTTCATGGTTCAACATTGTTGTATAAGAATACAGAATACATAGACCATATTTAGATTCTAACAAAACAAAGACCATATTTAGGGTCTAACAAAACAAAGTTTTCACAATGATGATTGACTCCTGGCCAGCTTCAGAAAAAGAAAGAAATTTGTAATTTTTACCAACTGTATTTCCCATTTAAGAAACAAATGAATGGGTAAGAATAATAAAATTAGACTTTATTTGATGTTTACGAAAATGCTTTATATATGTAATTTGAATATTCACTGATCATCCCATGAGAAGTAGATATTATTGCCACTGCCAGATATAACAATTCATCTGCATTTTTCAGGTGGAAAATTTGACTTGAATTTTGTAGTATAACCAAGAAAAATAGGAGAGCCCTATAATTGGCTCAGAACATCTAAATAACCCCAACTCTTCAAAGAGACCTGTAATTACTTTGATGAAGTTGTCTAAACATCCATCCATCCTGTCTTTGAAGGATTAGATGCAGAAAAAGCAGATATTTCTCTAATACTATCTGCTAATCTCAAAGAAGTGTTTTCAAATGGGAGAGAAAAGGTCAATTTTTTTCTTACAAGCTGCTTTTAAAGTATTATTACAAGATAATTGCAATTTCCAACTAATCAAAGATATGTTTAGGTGCTCAGATAATTTTATATGCAACTCATACTTTCTATAACCAGCCTCATGTGTATAATTCCCCAAATCTACTTGGGAAAAAAATTGCCTTTTTCTGCTGGGCACTGAGATTCTGAAATAAAACCCACAAAGCCATTGCCGGCTTAAACCAGTGGCAGGTCACTAAGGAAGGTCTGCATCTGCCAGGTAAGACTCAATCTCTTCCCCTTAGATCTCACTCCTGGTATTCTTCTAACAAATAACCATTTTCTCTATGCTATGTCTTGTACAGCATCTTCAACAGTCTTAATGCTTACTTGAACCTGTGTGTTACAGTCATTAAGACAGCAGTATTGTTTTAATGAGACATTTCCATTCCACCCAAGCCTTAATGACTACTTTCAGGTATCTTTTACGAGAATCCTGGGCAGTTGTTTTGAAGATCATATGCAAGAAAATAAAGTTACTGTAAGCCAGAGCAAAGTTTGATGGGTTACTAGGATGAATGTCTTATTTTCTTGGGACAAAGAGCAGAAACTAGTGACTAGTGAAGGCTGCAAATTTTCAAGAATAAAATCTATTTCAAAATAGGAAGATAGATAATACTTCCGGTTTTAATGTTCAGCTTATAGGCAATAGAACAGGCTAATAATATTGTCTAATTAGAGTATTATAAAGACATTATTGTGATTTATTTTATAGCGAATGATTCTAAATTCTAAAAAGATAAATGATTTGTTCAAGTCCACATAGCAAACCTTGAGGATCACTCCTACCTAAGAAGATCTTGGGCCAGGCACGGTTGCTCACGCCTGTAATCTCAGCACTTTGAGAGGCTGAGGCGTGCGGATCACTTGAGGTTAAGAGTTTGAGACCAGCCTGGCCAACATAGTGAAACCCCGTCTGTACTAAAAATACAAAAATTAGCTGGGCATGGTGGCACGCAGCTGTAGTCCCAGCTACTCAAGAGGCTGAGACAGGAGAATTGTTTGACCCGGGAGGCAGATGTTGTAGTGTGCCGAGTTCATGCCACTGCACTCCAGCCTGGGAGACAGGGCAAGACTCCGTCTCAAAAAAAAAAAAAAAAAAAAAAAAAAGATCTTAGAGCAGAATAGCGTGGAGCAGAATTGCTGCCATGCTGTTTTATAGTCCACACCCCCTATAATTCCTGCCGAGCACCTGAAGTTCAACTTTTCCTCCTCTGCTCTTTGCTCCGTGACTTCCTAACATGGCAATGCAGCAAAACCTGATCTTGGCAATACTTTCTTCCTGGATCCTCCTTTATCAAGGCTGAACATCTCATTAGCCTATCAGGTTGGTTTCTTCCCTTCGATGATTAAGGTGTTTTTTCCTTTTACTCTAAAGAAATAACAAACAGCTCTTATCTGCACTTCTTATGAAAAGGCTTTTGCTTAAACACCAGCTTGCTGTATGTGAAGTGTATGTATTTTTGAACCTGAGAGTCAATCATCACCCAATTATCATCTTAGGCATTACTTGAGAACTTTGTTTTTCTTGTTTTCTGTGCACCTGATATATCACGAAGAACAAGTTTCTGTAGGGGAATCAAGGAGGCAGTTGCCATCTATTTATCAGAATAATTAAAAACAGTATCCAAATGGAATCAGGCAATGAATACAAAACAGGGAGATGCTAAATTGATTTAGAAAATAAAATTGAATCTTTGGATATCTTGAGGCTTGGAGTCTCAGGATGAGAAGACACACCAAAGGTCATCTCATTCCTCTGTGAAATACCTGGCCCCTTGGTCACTCTGTGCTTAAAAATGCTAATGTGGGAACCTTACTATTGACAAAGGCAACCCATTCCATTTTTACATGCTTCTGACTCTCAATTTGTTATTATATTTTGTTTTGTTTCTTATTTATATATGTGTGTATATATGTATACATACATGAAATGTATATATAGTCACAGAAAAATTGAGCAGAAAGTACAAAGAGTTCCTGTATATTTCCTCCCCCTCCACTCCCCCAGCCTTTCCTACCATCAACATCCCCCATGAGAGTGGTACATTTGTTACAATTGATGAGCCTGCATTGACATATAATTATCATGTATAGTCTATAGTTGACATTAGGATTCCATCTTGGTATTTTACATTCTATGGGTTTTGACGAATGTATAATGACATGTATCCACTAATATAGTATCATAAAAAATAGTTTCAATGCTCTAAAAAATCTCTAAGCACTGCTTATTTATCTCTCCATCCACCTCCCCAACCTCTGGCAACTACTGATCCTTTCACTATTTTGCCTTTTACTGAATGTCTTGTCATTGGAACTCTACAGTATGTCTCCCTTAAATGTATATCTACTGGTCCCAGTTCTCTCATTTGGAGCTATACAGGAAGACAGAATATTTCTTCCTTAGCCCTTCAGCTATTTAAGAAGAGCTACCCAGTCCTTTTAGAGTTTATGATTTTTCAGGCCCAAACCTTGTCATTCTACTGATTATCTTAGGATATGCATCTGTGATTCATCTTAAAACCATGAAAGAAAAGTAGTAAGAGGTAATTATTATGAATGACTTGAGTGAAGTAAATGTACATAAGCTAGTAAGGTAGAGACAAAAACCCATTCAGCTTTCAAGGACAAAGCTAAGGGGCACTTCTTCCAGGACACCATCCATGGTCATCTCAGCCAGTAGAGCCCAGACAATTCTCTGTGGAACGTCAGGTGGTGTCAATTCAGATGCTTATACCTTTATAGAATGGTTGTGATTGATTCCTTTTTCTAGGATGATACCATAGAAAGGAAATTATCCTGGTGGATCCACAGATTTGGATGCATTCTAGCATACCCTCCATGTAATCTGGGGAAATAATCTCCTTTTTACTTGTTAGCTCAACCATGAAGAAGGAATTTGTAATACAACAATAATAATTACCATTTATTAAATATCTAACGTGCTTTGAAGATATTTTCTTGATATTACAACAACCTTTCTTGATATTACCACAACTTTTCTTGATATTACAACAACCTATTCAAGGAGCAACAATTCAGAGAGGTTAAGCCACATGCCCAACATCACCCAACTGATAAGTAATATGATTTTAAACTCTTCGGTCTGAAGCTAAAATAATAAAACTTTATTGATAAAATTATTAAATTATTAAAATATATAGTAGATATCTCAGTTTACATTCCCACAAAAGCAGAAACAGAGCAAAATCTTACTGAGTTGCTTTGTTATTTTCGAGTGCAATCCCAAGGAGCAGAAGTGAGGGACTAGGAGAGCAGAGCAGGAAAGGAGGGTCAGCCTGTGACAAGGACTTACTACAGAGCTCACAGCTCCAAAGGGCAAGTGATTGCTCCGTCTTGTGATCATCTTCCAAGATGTGATGTAAACCATGTCTCATTGTACGTTCTTCATTTTATCCAGCTCCAATACTGCAGTATGAAATTCCCATTTGTAGTAGGGACAGGATGCTTTGTTTTTCCTTGAAAGGTGAATTACAAACCCCATCTATCATAGAATCCCCTTCAAAGTAAGAACAGACACAATATCTGAAAAGATGTAAGCCAAGAAGCCTAGTGAAAAAGCTACCATCCACACTGCTACAGTTTGCGCCAAGATTATCTTCGGTATTTATCATATCTGGCTCCATAATCAGTTTCCCTCACTTTTGGTCAGCACTTCAGTTTATCTGGATGGCTTATCTGGTGGGGTGACCAAGGCACTTATCCCTTCCATATCTGTGTTTTCAATTGTTCTACTTTTTTAAAGTCAAGGTTTATCAAGAGTTTATTCTTATCATGGGTACAGAAACACAAGGTGCCAAGGTGAACCCTGTGCATTCAAAATATACCTTCTTCCCACCCCCAACTATGTAGAACAACCTTAGCTCATTGTGGTAATCAGGGTCTGCTGCCCCTAACAATCTAGTAACTCTTTTGTTTATGCCTGTTCCCTATTTTAAGAATCCCAAAGCAACCAGAAAGTAGCTAAAGCCTAAAATTCAACAGAAACATTAGTATCTCTAAGAGAAACATTCTTTTTCTCAGGATCTATGACCACTGACTTGGCAAAGCCTACAGTCAGGGGGACAGAAATCACAAATTCCACAAGCAGATCATTGGGGTAAGGTGAGAAAAGCCAGCACTATTTCTACTCCTTGGTTGCCAGGCTTATATATACCAGTTATTATGAGCACTCTTGGTCCAGCAAACAGACTGTATTTTGGTGGGCAGTGCCTCAGTGTCACGGGATGTTGATCCCTCACTACCTTTTTAGCTAATCCTTTAACAATGCATTCTACTGCTTCTTCTGGGTGATCGGGTTTATGATAAGAACAATGCAGCTGTTATCATGCAACTTTTTCGTAGCTCCTTTGCTGTACAAGAATCCCTTGTTCCAAAATAATGTGTGGGCTACCATGACAATAAGTTAGGTATTTTTAAGTCCTTAAGCAGTGATGGTGAAAATACAGCGGGTAGGGAAGGAAGCCCCATATTTTGAGTAGGTGTTGATTCCTGTAAGAAGGAATTCTCTCCCTTCTTAGTGGAAGGGATCCAAATTAATTGACCTGCCACCATGGGACTGGCCAGTCTTCTGGAGGAAGGATGCCGCATGGAGGCGTCACTCTTAAAATGAGCCTGACTTTCAGTGCATTCTGTGCTATGGCTTCAGAAGATGAAAGTACCCTTCATAGCTGTCCCAGAGGCTCTTTGGCTTTATAGTGTGCTTTGAGTTAGCAGTTTGGCTGTCCCGAGCCTATCATGTTCTCATTTCAAGTTTTCCAAAAAAGAATAGAACACATTCACATTTCTTATGATTATCATTTCCCCCACACCATCCAAGCCCTCAGCCACTGCAGATCCAGTGGCTCACCTTCTACCTGCCCTTTGTTCCGATTATTAACAACTGAAAGCCTTGATGGTTACAACCACCCCAATTATCACCAGCAATGATCTTATTGACACCAGATCAAAGAGTCATCAAGTTCCAAATTTTCATCTTCTTTCTAGAGCTCTGCCACCTCCCCAATACCAACGGTCTTAATCTGCCTTCTGCTACAAAGCAGAGTACAATGCAAAGATTTATAAGGTACTGCTTTATTCAGGAATGGCATCCCAGCGAGCAAGATAAAGGTCAGGAAAGTGAAGAAGGAAGCAGGTTTCACTATTATGGTCACAGAGGAAAGTCCACCACATGCAAAGCCCCATGTCAACACAGAAGACCCAGGGTGGGAGGCAAGAAGTACATGGCAGAGGTATGAGGCAGACACTGGCAGGTTGAGCCTGAGTGAAGCTGGTCAGAATCCTTTCAGAGTGCATCACTGCAGCCTCTGCTGAAATAAGACTCAGGCAAAACTGAGAGGCTATGCAGTGGTGCATGAACAGTGCCTGATGCAGTGAATAAGATTGGGAACAAGTTAATGCATTTATGACATATTATGTTCTCCCTAATCACTGAAATCATTTGTCTTAGTCACCCAAACTATTTTATATTACTCCCCCTAATAAAAGGAATGAATTTGCCCCAACCTTCCTGGTGAATGAGAAAGGCCATGAGATCAGCTATAAAGTCTTCAATTTATAAGCAGAGTTTCTTCTCTATCTGATTTGTATATGCAAGCATCTCTCCTGTTTATTGCCTGGATAGAAGTGCAAACACAGCAGAGAAACATAATGAATGCCTTATTTTGATTGTCCAAGCTGAAAGTAATGAAAAAGCCAAACTGATAGAAATTAGGAAATATGAATCCAATTTACAAAATTCTGCCAGGGCTAATAAAACAAGGTATAACATCAGTTGCACAACCAAAAGACTGCCATTTTATGGTCATTTTTACGGCATATGATTTTGACATTGACTACATTCCTTTTTTATGTTCTAGTTATATGAATATTCTACTCAATGTTTAAATTTAAAAAGCTGCAGAAACAATGCAAAGAGCATAGCTCTCAATGACCAGAAAACTAAGAGGCACTAAATTATAAAGTATGTATAAACAATGATGTATAAAACAAAGAATTTCAGAGGCCATAGAACTACATCGAACTGCAGCTCAAATGTCCTCCTTTCACACTCCCCAGTGCCTTCTACTTCCACCTGGCATCCTATGCATGCTCTAGGAATATGCCTTTTACACACTGCTGAAAAGAATGGCCCAAAGAAATTTTCCCACAGTCTCAATCTAAACAAATAATGTGGGTGGCCATAAAGTCAATTACTGTGATAAATACATACATATTTAAAGGTTCCTATGTACCAAGCCCTGATCACAAGCAACATAACATTGAATTAAACTGACAAAAATGCCTGCCCACATGATTACATGTTAGATGTGGAAATATATACTAAACATGTGAGCAAGTAAAACAGAGTATATTGTATGCTGGTTGATGATAAATGGTGTAGATGCAATAAATTAGGGAATGCCAGTAGGAAATGAAGGAACAAGGAAGAGCATTCGCAATTTTAAAAGTGGTGATCAGCCGGATGTGGTGGCTCACACCTGTAATCCCAGCACTTTGGGAGGCCGATGCGGGTAGATCATGAGGTCAAGAGATGGAGACCATCCTGGCCAACAGAGTGAAACCCTGTCTCTACTAAAAATACAAAAATTAGCTGGGCGTGGTGGTGCGCACCGGTAGTCCCAGGTACTCAGAAGGCTGAGGCAGGAGAATCGCTTGAAACCGGGAGGTGGAGGTTGCAGTGAGCCAGGATTGTGCCACTGCTTTCCAGCCTCCAGCCTGGCAACAGAGCAAGACTCTGTCTAAAAAAAAAAAAAAAAAAAAAAAAAAAAGGTTGGGGGGCAAGCGTAAAGAGCTGAGACAAAAAAGTTGGTTGGTGCTTCCAAGAAGGCCAGTGTGGTTGAAGCTCAGTGAAAGAGAGGAAAAGTAGGTGGAGATGAGGTCAGAGAAGAAACAGTGGCCTCATCCTATAAGCCACATAGCCCATCATCTTTGAAAGTCCTGAAGAAAATAGGAAGCCTTTGGAAGGCTTTAAGCAACAGAGTAGAATTCTGACTTGCTGTCACTGAAAATAGAACAGATTAAATTCAGCATTTATTGAACATTTAAATGTATAAATCACAGTGCTAAAAAATGCCAGTACTTCAGGACCTTAAGACTCAAGTTCATGAAAAGCACAGTCTGCTCTCTCACTCACTAAATAGAAAAATAGAGACAGAAAGAGAAAGAGAGAGAGAGAGAGAGAGATTTCCTAGACATTAAATAAGGCAGAAAAGACTCCAACTCTATCATTTATCACTTTTCTAGAAAGTCTTCCTTTTTTCCCCACCTCCAAGTAAAACATGATTGAGGTAAGCACAATCAGATACATAATTTTGCCCCTTGGTCATGAATGTATAATTCATAGTTAAATTCTTGGCCCAAAGTGCATAAATGGACACTTCTTTTAAGCCTTTCTTCCATTCCAACCATTTTCCTGCATGTGGGCCAATACAAAAGAGAAAATTGTCTATAATATGAAAGGAGAATACAACAGGTCAAAATGAAACAAAAACAAGAGATGGAAATAGAGAAATTCTGCTTTCCTACAACTACTTCATACATGATTCCAAACAGTGCCCAAAGTCCAGATATTGTAAGACAGGTAGCTTCTTGTCTACAAATTGTTTTTTATAGTGTAAGCTAGATTTAATGGGACTCTAATACTTACCAGACAGTAAGATTCCTAAAAATCTATTTACTACACATGGCTAAAGGTTATCGCCCAGAAAACTCTAGACTTTGGCCTTTTCAATGATATAATATGTTTGGAACTATTCAATGCACCTTTCCAGAATGAGCTTGTTTCCATTTTAGCAAAGTGTAGGACAGATTTTAAGGTGGCCTTCATGGTTCTTGACTCCTATCATTCATACCTTTGTGAAATGTTCTTACCTTGAGTGGGGGGTGGGATCTAGGACTTGCTTCTAATCTGAGTGTGGCAAAGATTATGGTGATTACATAAGTCTCTAGTACCTGTCTAGGTATTGCTAAAGTCTCTTCCTCTCTGTTTCTGGCCTTGAAAAAGTAAGCTATCATATTATAGAAGGGCCTGTAGGGAGGGTAATGTGACAGATTTGCAATTGGCCTCTTACTGCTGACAGCAACCCCTGGACAACAGTCAACAAGAAGCCAAGGACGTACACCTTTTAGCCTCAAGGAAATGCATTCTGCCACTGACCTGAGTAGGCTTAGAAGCAGACTCCTCTCCAATCCAGCCTCCAGATAAGAATCCAGCTTGGAAGCACTTTGATTACAGCCTTACGAGACCCTGAGCAGAGAATCTAGCTAAGCTTTACCAATACTCCTAACTCACAGAACTGTGAGATAATGAATGTGTGTTGTTTTATGCTTCTAAGTGATTGATAACTTGTTATGCAGTAATAGAAAACTAATACATATAAGAATAAACCATTCAAATTATAATATCAGAATGTGACTGTGACCTGAGTCATTGCAGAGGTGTATGATAAACAGTACTAGGGTTAATGGGAGGCAGAGGTTGCAGTGAGCCAAGATTGCACCATTGCCCTCCAGCCTGGGCAACAAGAGCGAAACTCCGTCTCAAAAAGAAAAAAAAAAAAAAACAAAGAGTACTAGGTTAAGATCCTCCCTCATGTTTTCTTGAGTCACTCCTTATAGAAAATACCAATGTGTTATCTCTTTAAGGTACAGATTCAGAACTACAAGAAAGTTCTTTAAAAATGAGACATTTGTTCATCATAACCCTGAAGCTTTTCTTTTGTGGATTCCTCTGAATCTGGAAAAAAAAAAAAACTGTGCTTCCTAGAGTTTAGATCAATAACTAATTTGAAAACTAAATCTCTAGGCCTGGTTAGATGGTTTGTAAATGACTGCAGTGACTAAGTGACAAAAGAAACAAATTGTCCAGCTAAGTGTCCACTCACTCAATTGATTCCACTGATGTCACTTTTGATTTTCATTAGTGGAATTATTACATAAGATATACCCTAAACCTTTATGGCTTATTAAAGTGAGCACAATGAAAATAGCAGTTCACTTTTTCTAGGAGACTTCATTGTGCTAGTAGATAAAATTACACAATTGATGCCTTTGTGTGCTTCTTATTAGAAATGGTACTGAAGTCCTATTGATGGGTTCCAATTCCAGCCTTGTCCTTTATTAACTTTGGAAAACTGGATGAGCTATATAAGTCCCTTAGGCACCTAAAAAGCTAGTTGAATAATGATCAGATATCTGACAAAGCTTAACAGTAAGGATACACATTGGTTAGGATCAGGGCTTTTGACATCAGACAATCTTATGTTTGATTTAGAGCTTTAACTTTTGTTTGTGTCTATGTGACGATCTTAACCCAACAAAATCTCAACTTCTTATGTATAACATGAGCATTCTAATTCCTACCCCATTCATTTGTTATGAAGATTACTTAACGTAATATGCAAAAATTAGATCTAGGGGATGATATGTAGTAAATGTTCAATAAATGTTTTCTATTATTATGACATTTTCTATTATTGCTACTACTATTAATATTACTACATGAAAATACCTAGCATAACATATAGCCAATATTTAGTTTCTTTCTCCATATGCTTTTTATCACCCTTCCCTGTGTCTCACTCCTACCCTGCAATTTTAAAATAATTCTAGGAAGTCATGGGCCTATTTTCTTAAAATAGTTCACTGATTCAAAGAATATAACTGTTCTGAGAAGAATGTCTCACATGGTTATCTACACCCTAAGGTGAATGACAAATATCACACTATCCCATGGCTGCTAAGGTTCTCAAATTAAATGTGTAGACACAAAAATGGGAAAGCATGAAAGGGAAGAAACCCTCCAGGAAGAGAGCCATGTTCTGTGTCTTGGGTTTTGTCCTTGGAGCAGGGAGAAAGCTATTCCTTGGGTAGCACATCGTAGTGAGTCAGAGTACTGTTTGTGCAAAAAGACTGTCTGGGTTCAAATCTTTCCTCTGCTGCTCATGAAATGTATGACCTAACGGCAGAGTGCCTAAATCAGTTGCCTCACCTGTAAAATAGGACTAATGTTATTTATCGGTATGGTATAGTTATTGTGATGATTAAATCAGTTATCCACAGGAATCACTTTGGGCTGGAGGGTTTCCACTCACCTCCATGGGTTTACAATCCACTTTTCTCCCCGCATTTTGGTGCCTGGGAGGCAGGCTTGTGTATTCTGCTGCGATAAAGCCTCCTTCTCTTCTGGTTTCCTATCAGGTTCAGCAAATGCAAGACACCACAGGAGATGGGAGGTCAGAAGGAAAATGAGGTCTGTGTACCTTTCCCTATAGCCCAGCTCCCTGCCAGGCCACAGATAGAGAGTGCTGCAGTTGGCAACCAAAACTGAAGTACTGAGTGGCAGACACTGAGTGGCATTCTTCCACACCTACAGTTTTGCCAAGTTCTGTTAACCTCTCCCACCTTTTGCTCCTTCTAGTTTAGAGGTACCTCACCAGCTTCTATTGGTTTACCTTAATCCTGCCCATATTTTTGTGAATAGCCCCTTAATTAAACTCCCAAATCCTCCTTTTTGAATATGGCATCTCTTCTCTTTTGGGTTACCACACACTTACAACAGTGTCTATCAGGCAGTATCTACTAAATAAATGTTATCTATTACTAAATAAATTGCAGAGGTTAAAGTGGTGTTTTTCTCTAAATACAACCATCACTATAATAACAAATAAACATAAACTTTTATCCAGCAACATAATGATTCAGAGTTTTCAGAGGGCCAGAACTGCTACTACTTCATTCTAGAAGCAGTCCTCAGGAAGACTGCTGTTCATAAAACGCGAGACAGGTAACAATGATTAAGATACGCAGGAAATGAAAATAAAAAATTATGTATCCCACTATACTTTTATTTAAATAAAATATACAATACATGAGAAACAAAATATAGAATATCTAAGGGTGAAATTAAAGATTGTTTTTAAAAATCAGCTAAATTAGAAAATAGGCATACTGGAGTAGGGTTAGTTCTTTTTATTTTATTATTTTACTACCCTAACAAACATTATTATTACTATATATCCAGCTAAACAACTCTGCAGTCATCTTAAGGGAAATACCATAATACTGAGTAGGTTTGAAATTGAGTCTGATCACAAGGTGAAAATATCATGCCAACTAACTTAGAGAGCTTACCAAGAAAAAGATTATGTAAATAAGTGGTTGCCGAGTTTTTCATCTTTCTTATTTGTGAATTGGAGAAAGGTTGGCACGGTGAATAATAACTTTGCTATTTTTGAAGAATAACAAATTGATCATAAAAATATTGATAATATGCATTCATGCTTCATCTTATATCCCATATATTTAAATGGCTAATCCATAGCATATGATTGTATAAACATCAGAAGTTTTATTTACTAGAATTTTTTCTTTCTTTATAAGCAAAGAAGATGCAAGTCCTTTAAAAGTCTTGCCATCTATTTTAATAAGCTGTACTTAATGTTATCAGCAACTTACTTTAGGGAGAGTTCCTATACATAGAAATAAATGCCAGACCAAACATTGCTGCTGATTTGTTCTTGCAAGTCTGCCAAAAGGATAATATATTCACAAATAGAATGTATTCTCTTATTAGTTTTTTTAGTATTACTGCAAAAACTGCAATGATTTTCCATTTAATAGGGAAAAAAACACTTCACATTCCTAGAAAATTGTTTCTTAAGGGGAAAAGGGGGAAAATAAGACTATGCCCTTCTCAGCAGAAATCATTGCCAGGGCGTGAAGGTAATATATTTCATCTCCCAGTCTATTATAATTTTAAAGGTTTTATTTTTTTCCTTATCCTCACTTCTCTTTTCAGCTGCAAGTTGTCTCATCAGCCCTCTCAGCTGATCTGATGTCATGGTTATTTTTCTCTCCTGTTAAAGGTCAGGGATGTTGGTAGGATTTGCCTTTGCTCTTTATGTTTGTGGCAAAGGAAATACAAGCAACTTCTCTTGAATCAAATTGAGTTTAAAGCAAAATAGGGACACGGTTCTACATGCATAGGCAATCGGGATAAGCCAAATGGGATAGACTGATGGTAGCATTTAAACTTACAGAGGCCTGTTTTCATTAGAGCTGTTCAATGAACTGGTAAGCCATCTGTGTGCTAAGAATTCTGTGAACTGAAGTAGCCTTTTTCTGTTACGCCCAATTGGGGAAAAATAAGTATATATTCAATGCTAAGTATATAACACCACCTAATACAATCTTTATCTGCAAATTACTGAAATTATGCATTGGATGCCAATGGGAAAACAAATCTGGAACCATTCCAGTTAGTCAAGCTATTTTAATAAAATAGGGGGAAGGAGCTGTTAGCAAGATACTGGTTGAGAAACCATGTTTATTTGTAGGGGCCTGGTCAATTCTTCTCCGTAACCAATCTCTACTCTATTAGATTCAGATCATTCTCTCCGTGTTTGATATTGAAACTGAGCTTAGGCTCAGCATAGTGAAGTGAAGAAGGAAATGAACTTCGAGTCTTCCTCCATGAAGGCAAGATAATATTTCCTATACAAACACTTGTAATGAAACATGACAAGAAAGATCACAGCATTAATCAGAAGGCTTCAGTTAGAACAATTTGCAGGAACAGATGGAGATAAAGGGTTTGATAATAGATTGGGGGCATCTTAAAACGAGGAAACTAGTGATTAGGAATTCTATTTGGTTTTAAACACATTACTTTTTTGTCTTATCAGCATGTGAAGTGGTATAGTTGCTGTAAGTCAATCTAACCATAGTTTAGTGGCTTACACTATGCACTACAGATTTTCAATGTTGTCAGGTTATGGAGCTTTTCTGTATTTGTGACCAACACATTCCCACATTTTCTCCCTCTCATACTTCCAGGGCAGAAGGAATTCTCTTTTGTTGAAGCCCTGATGCAATGAAAGACCTTCAAAACAAGACAGTGTTCTACCTCATATAAGACTACTATCTCTTATAGATCTAAAGACCCTATAAGAGCTTTGGGATGAGAGAATGAAAAGCTACTGATGGTGATCTCAACTTGAGGGGCACTGAATAAGTCATCGTATCTATCAATATTTGTCCTTTTGACTAAATTTCCAACCTAAGAAGTCCAATTTCAAGGGAAATACAACTGCACCTGTGAAAGGATTCTCTTAATTTGATAAGAGCTTTTAGTTAATTGGAGCAGATATCTGAAAACATGAAGCTTGGGACATGAGCCATGAGACAGGCATAGAGTGGAAAGGGAAATGGGAAATAGGGAACAGAAAGAAGAAAAGCATGCATTCATTCAACATCCAATATGCACATACTGGGCAGCTCATATATCAGGCTCTCTGCTGGACAATGAGATAGAGAACAGACATTCACCAAGATAGACAGGTTCCTGCACTCTGGGAGCTTTCACTTCAGTGAGAAATGACATACAATAAACACATAGATGGTAAATAAAGGAGATAAGGTCTGACAGTAATAAATGCTGATAAGGGAATAAAATAAGATGGTCAAAAGTACTGAGGGTAGGGGAGAAGGAGAGATACTTGAGACTGAATGCTCAGATATAACCTCTCTGATGAGAAGGCATTTAAAATGAGACTTGAATAAAGAGAAGAAGCCTTGCAAACTATCAGGGAAACAGAGTTCCAGATAAACAAGCTTCAAGTGTAAGGACATTGATAACTATTTTTTTTCCAACAAACTTTGTCTGTCAAAGGAATTCAAGTCCCTGTGGATGGCATGTAGTAGGAGAAAAGAGCAGTAGATAAGTTTGGAAAAGTGGAAAGGCCAAACACAGGGTTTCAGAGGCCATCTGAAGAAGACTCAATTTTATTCAGAACTAAAAGGGGAGTGATAGGGACTTTTAAGGTTTTTAAGTTGGCTAAGGCTGCCACAACAGAATATGACAGTCTGGGTGGCTTAAACAACCAAATTTTATTTTTCCACAGTTCTGGAGGCTAGTAAGTCCAAGATCAAGGTGGCAGAAGGGTTGGTTTCTGGTGAGTCCTCTCTCCCTGCCTTGCAGATGGCTGCCTTATGGCTGCATCCTCACCTGGCCTTTTCTCTGTGCATGCACACTCCTGATATCTCTTCCTTTTCTTATAAGGAATCCTATTAGATTAGGATGCCTCCTAATGACTTCATTTAACTTTGATTACTTTTTTAAAGGTCTATCTGTAAATATAGACACCAGATACTATAACCTCAACATGTAAATTTGGGGAAACCCAACTCAGTTCATTACACAAGTCAAGACGGTATTTGTAAAATGCCCCTTTGGCTGCCATGTGGAGCTTGGATTTGGGGTGGGGTCATGATGATGTAGAAAGAGCAGAGACAATGTTCCTTTTCTGTACTTTATGCTAATGCCTTCCCCAAAATTTCATCAGTGTTAGATGCATGTAAACAGATAGAAAAACTAGCTAATTAGCTGTTCTTGTTGAATATATAGGTCAGGGTTCAGTCCAAATAAAAGAATCTTGGATGTGCTAAAAAAATCAAACAAAAACAAACAAACAACAAAAAAAACATAAAAATTTTTTCAGTTTCTATTCTTCCTGTTTTGAAGATTGCAAGGTCATGGGTTTTTCTGTCTATAAATTCCAAGAAAGACACTGTTGGAACATCTACAGCAATATCAACATAGTAAAAGTCTCATAGATCATAAAGGTCCTGCCTCCCACACAAGACAGTCTGCCATTGTTGTTATATGAGACCAGAACAAGTGATTTGTTGGCCGTGCCCCACTTACCAAGGTCTTTTCAGAGCTTGGATAATGGCCCTGGACACATTGAAACAGAAAATCCTTTCCCTTACCTCCATCCAACTGGAGCAGAAAGTAAGAGAAATGGGGTTATAATGATGGCTACAAATTTTGAGCCTATAACACATGCCAACTAAGTGCTTTTAAACCGTGTTTTCTTTTGAATAGAGAACAAACACGTGAGATGGGTATTTTTAACCTAATTTTAGAAATGAAGAAATGAGGCTCGAGATGAAGCAAGTTGTCCATGCTCTTACTTACATAGTCAGTAAGTGCAGAGCCAAGTTCTGACCCTGATGACCTTCATAAGCCTTGATTCTAAGCTATGTGCAATGGCACATGTATCTGCACACCAGTGGGGTTTCACTTTTAAAGTTATGCAACACAACAACCATTAGCAAAATTCTCCTAGACTTGAAACAATCAAAACCTCATCCAGATGTACTGGTTGTACAAAAAGTTATTGTCCATTCTAAGATATAATCCTTAAGATATGCACACATTGCATCCTAATCAACAATAGTCCTCCCTTTATGCCTGCTAAATTTGGACTACATACAGCTTGCTAAATGCCCACAAGAGAAAGCAGGAAAGATCCAAAATTGACACCCTAATGTCACAATTAGAAGAACTAGAAAAGCAAGAGCAAACACATTCAAAAGCTAGTAGAAGGCAAGAAATAACTAAAATCAGAGCAGAACTGAAGGAAATAGAGACACAAAAAACCCTTCAAAAAATTAATGAATCCAGGAGCTGGTTTTTTGAAAGGATCAACAAAATTGATAGACCGCTAGCAAGACTAATAAAGAAGAAAAGAGAGAAGAATCAAATAGACACAATAAAAAATGATAAAGGGGATATCACCACCGATCCCACAGAAATACAAACTACCATCAGAGCATACTACAAACACCTCTACACAAATAAACAAGAAAATCTAGAAGAAATGGATAAATTCCTGGACACATACACCCTCCCAAGACTAAACCAGGAAGAAGTTGACTCTCTGAATAGACCAATAACAGGATCTGAAATTGTGGCAATTATCAATAGCTTACCAACCAAAAAGAGTCCAGGACCAGATGGATTCACAGCCCAATTCTACCAGAGGTACAAGGAGGAACTGGTACCATTCCTTCGGAAACTATTCCAATCAACAGAAAAAGAGGGAATCCTCCCTAACTCATTTTATGAGGCCAGCATTATCCTGATACCAAAGCTGGGCAGAGACACAACCAAAAAAGAGAATTTTAGACCAATATCCTTGATGAACATTGATGCAAAAATCCTCAATAAAATACCGGCAAAAGGAATCCAGCAGCACATCAAAAAGTTTATCCACCATGATCAAGTGGGCTTCATCCCTGGGATGCAAGGCTGGTTCAATATATGCAAATCAATAAATGTAATCCAGCATATAAACAGAACCAAAGACAAAAACCACATGATTATCTCAATAGATGCAGAAAAGGCCTTTGACAAAATTCAACAACCCTTCATGCTAAAAACTCTCAAGAAATTAGGTATTGATGGGACGTATCTCAAAATAATAAGAGCTATCTATGACAAACCCACAGTCAATATCATACTGAATGGGCAAAAACTGGAAGCATTCCCTTTGAAAACTGGCACAAGACAGGGATGCCCTCTCTCACCACTCCTATTCAACATAGTGTTGGAAGTTCTGGCCAGGGCAGTCAGGCAGGAGAAGGAAATGAAGGGTATTCAATTAGGAAAAGAGGAAGTCAAATTGTCCCTGTTTGCAGATGACATGTTTGTATATCTAGAAAACCCCATTGTCTCAGCCCAAAATCTCCTTAAGCTGATAAGCGACTTCAGCAAAGTCTCAGGATACAAAATCAATGTACGAAAATCACAAGCATTCCCATACACCAGTAACAGACAAACAGAGAACCAAATCATGAGTGAACTCCCATTCACAATTGCTTCAAAGAGAATAAAATACCTAGAATCCAACTTACAAGGGATGTGAAGGACCTCTTCAAGGAGAACTACAAACCACTGCTCAAGGAAATAAAAGAGGATACAAACAAATGGAAGAACATTCCATGCTCATGGGTAGGAAGAATCAATATCGTGAAAATGGCCATACTGCCCGAGGTAATTTATAGATTCAATGCCATCCCGATCAAGCTACCAATGACTTTCTTCACAGAATTGGAAAAAACTACTTTAGAGTTCATATAGAACCAAAAAAGAGCCCGCATCACCAAGTCAATCCTAAGCCAAAAGAACAAAGCTGGAGGCATCAGGCTACCTGACTTCAAACTATACTACAAGGCTACAGTAACCAAAACTGCATGGTACTGGTACCAAAACAGAGATATAGACCAATGGAACAGAACAGAGCCCTCAGAAATAATGCTGCATATCTACAGCTATCTGATCTTTGACAAACCTCAGAAAAACAAGCAATGGGGAAAGGATTCCCTATTTAATAAATGGTGCTGGGAAAACTGGCTAGACATATGTAGAAAGCTGAAACTGGATCCCTTCCTTACACCTTATACAAAAATTAATTCAAGATGGATTAAAGACTTAAATGTTAGACCTAAAACCATCAAAACCCTAGAAGAAAACCTAGGCAATACCATTCAGGACATAGGCATGGGCAAGGACTTCATGTCTAAAACACCAAAAGCAATGGCAACAAAAGCCAAAACTGACAAATGGGATTTAATTAAACTAAAGAACTTCTGCACAGCAAAGAAACTACCATCAGAGTGAACAGGCAACCTACAAAATGGGAGAAAATTTTCGCAACCTACTCATCTGACAAAGGGCTAATATCCAGAATCTACAATGAACTCAAACGAATTTACAAGAAAAAGACAAACAACCCCATCAAAAAGTGGGCAAAGGATATGAACAGACACTTCTCAAAAGAAGACATTTATGCAGCCAAAAAACACATGAAAAAATGCTCATCATCACTGGCCATCAGAGAATGCAAATCAAAACCACAATGAGATACCATCTCACACCAGTTAGAATTGTGATCATTAAAAAGTCAGGAAACAACAGGTGCTGGGGAGGATGTAGAGAAACAGGAACACTTTTACACTGTTGGTGGGACTGTAAACTAGTTCAACCATTGTGGAAGTCAGTGTGGCGATTCCTCAGGGATCTAGAACCAGAATACCATTTGACCCAGCCATCCCATTACTGGGTATATACCCAAAGGATTATAAATCATTCTGCTATAAAGACACATGCACATGTATGTTTATTGTGGCACTATTCACAATAGCAAAGACTTGGAACCAACCCAAATGTCCAACAATGATAGACTGGATTAAGAAAATGTGGCACATATACACCATGGAATACTATGCAGCCATAAAAAATGATGAGTTCATGTCCTTTGTAGGGACATGGATGAAGCTGGAAACCATCATTCTCAGCAAACTATCGCAAGGACAAAAAACCAAACACCGCATGTTCTCACTCATAGGTGGGAATTGAACAATGAGAACACATGGACACAGGAAGGGGAACATCACACTCCGGGGACTGTTGTGGGGTGGGGGGAGGGGGAGGGATAGCATTAGGAGATATACCTAATGCTAAATGACGAGTTAATGGGTGCAGCACACCAGCATGGCACATGTATACATATGTAACAAACCTGCACATTGTGCACATGTACCCTAAAACTTTAAGTATAATAATAATAATAATGATAAAAAAAGAAATTCAATTGTTTTCTTGTTGTACCTGGAGTCCCATTTGATCAATCTATGAAACTGCACACACACACACACACACACACACACACACACACACACACACACTTTAAAAAAATAAAATTAGGAGCATGCCATGCCTCCTATTCTGCATTATGCCATGCAAATACTTCCACGTCAATATACAATCAATCAACTACAAGGTAATGCTATTGTTATCCCTATTTCTTTCTGCAAAAGCAGGAGGGCAGGTAGGACCAGCAAATGTCTTGCTAACTAGTACTAATGCAGTCTGTCATTTGTTTCCTCTGAACCAGGTATATGTTAGGCTAACTTTTTCTTCTCTGTGGTACTTTTTAAGTTCTTCAGAAACATCTACTCCTGAAGATTTCTTCAGAAACAAGTACAGCTCTATTGACTCATATAAATGTGACTCAGATTTCCCCTCACCCTCAGGCATTTGGTGGCAACACTTTTAGCATAGGGTTCTTTGCTCCTTTAGGCAGCTCTCTCCAACAATACCAGAGCTGCTCTTTCTCACACGTGGTTCATATCTAGCCAAATGAAAACATGCACAGTTGATCTCTCATCCTCAGAAATGAAATTGCCTCACAGATACAACCTCTCCTTTGCTGCCCCAGAAATCTTCATGGGGAAAAATCTGATGCACTCTTTTAGAGGAGGCTTGAAGTGAGGGAAAAGAACACCCTGGCCAAGGCATGCATGGATAGAACCCACAGCACTAACAAGTCTCTCCAAATAAATCCTTTATCTAAACTTCAGCATCTTCTTTTTTGGTTTCCTGAGTCTTAAAGGATGGAAATGTGTGGCCAATAGCAGAAATTTTATTTCTTTGCTCTTAATCAACTCTTGTAAGTTCTCTACAGTTGGTCTATAGACTCACTTTAAAATGTGGAGTTACTGACATTTGGGGCCACAGATCAATCTGAGAGCATTTATAGTCATAAAAACATATCTGCAAGAATAGGTAGCTTGCTATGAACAGTAGTTACATCTGGAAAGTTGATTTAGATAAAAGAAACCTTCTGCACTATTTGCATTTCTTCTCTTATAAAAGATTATTTTATAATTATAAAATAAGATGTTTTCATGAAAATAGCTTCTACATTATGAATTGTTGTGAGCACTTAAAGAAGTGTTTGGAACAGATTAAATCCTGGTTGAAGGTAGCTCTTATTGCTACATGCATAGTATTATAACATGCATTCAGCAAATATCTAGTGAGCATTTATTTTATGTAAGACACTCTGCAATTTTCTAGGCATGTAATAGCAAACAAGACAAACCTGTTTCCAGCCTTAATGTCTGTTAAAGAGGACTAAGAAAAGTAAACGAGTAAATACATACAATTATTACAAATTACAATTTGTGATGAGGAAACAAGGAACAATGAGAGACCGAGAAAGAACTAAAATGATTACAGCGATCATCCACTTGTCTTAGCGTGGTCATGTGAGGCCTCTCTGGGAATGGAAATTTAGACTGAGACCCAAAAGATGAAATAGCTTGGAGAGAAAAGCCAGTAGAGGGAAATTACCAATACAGAGAACAGCATTTCCCAAGGCAAAAAGGACCTTGGTATGTTTGAGGAACTAAAAAGCAAGACCAGAATTGTTGGAATATAACAAGCAAGGGAGACTGTGGTATGAAATGATGGTGAAAGATAGCAAGGCCCTCCAAATTCACAGCCTCGCAAGCTGTGGTCTGGACTGGATTTCATTTTAAATACATTATGATTGTCTTGCATGGTCCATTATAGCATGTCACACAACATAAACCTGGAGAAAGGGGAGTGACCCACTGAAAGATTTCCTTTGCTTTAAAATCATAAAGATTTACGTTCCTTGTCTTTTAACCAATAAACTCTGTGAAGATAAAGATGGTGACTGTCCTCTTTACTATTGTATATCCAGCACTTAGAAAATGATCTGGCACAAGATAAGCTAGATTAAATATTTTCCAGATGAATGAATACATGACATCAATATTACACAGTGGCTAAATGCTTGAGCTGTGGAATCTGACAGACCTGTATTTGAATCCTTACTTTCCAAATCTATTGGCTCTATGGCCTTGCACAAATACAGTAAAAACTTGAGTTAAGGGCTAACACAGGGAGCCCCTGAAAGATGAGTTTTCCTGAAGGATGGCCTCCCAGCAAAACAGTTGGTCTCCTACAGAACAAGGCCATTTGAGAATTGAAAACTGCTCCCTGGAAACTGGCCACACCTGGGAGCTTCAGGCAATCAGTCACAGTTCTCTGAGGCCGCAGCGGACTGTACTGAAGTTATATCATATAGTGGAGGAACTTGGGCCTCTCACTAAGAATGTGTTGAGGTTTGGGCAAGACAGAAAATTTTCAACAATCCAGCTGCACCCAGTGCATGGATTCTTGCTCCTATTTATGTCAGGAATGGTACTAGTGCTCCACCAACCCTGGATATCAAGGCACAAGAACAGGGCTTGGAGGCTACCAGTCCACCACATTATAACAAGCCAGCTTCATTTTCATCAGGCCGATCAGTACTGCCCCTAACTTTTCAGCTGGAAAGCCAAAACCGTTAGTCATGGTTCCTTTCTGCATCTACCATCCAGTCCTGCCTAGATTCCTGTGCACTGCCCAGGGCACAATGGCCATTAGGCAATACCTATGTCTATCTCTGGACTTCCAGCAAATGCTCTTCCAAACCTGGGGCTGCAAACTGTCAGGTGATTTGCTCTCTTTTTGTTCTTCATGACTCTAAGCCTCAGGTTTATATTTTTTCTTCTTTTTATTTAAGAATTTTTTAATCATGTTTTTCTAGAGAGCGGGTCTCCCTAACTTGCCCAGGCTGGTCTTGAATTCCTGAGCTTAAGCAATCCTCCCACCTCAGCCTCCCAAAGCACTAGGATTACAGGCACAACCCACCGTGCTGGGCCTCAGGTTTCTTATCAGTAAAATATGTATAACAATTATGCCAACTCTATATGGATGCTAGGGATATTAAACCAGACAATGTAAGCAAAGAGTTTTGGACCTTACTATTCAACCTGCTTTATTTAATAATCTGATATTTTTCATCATGAAATATTTTGTCGTATGATTTTTAAAAAACTCTGTTTTAAAATGTTATTAATTTTGATTACTGACTTTGGCACATTCCTAAATTTTGCTTCTGAAGTGAGTACCTCTCTTGTTTCATCCTAGTCCCATCCCTGTCTTATCTAATATATACTAAACACTAAATAAATATACATTATTTATATTATTGTTACTCTTATTATACACACTCTCTTCTCATTCTCTCTCCTCCTTCATACACATACATACATGCACATACACATATACACACCTCAAAAGGCTACTAGTGTAACTGCATATTTATTGATATAGAGCTTGCCTTCTGAAAAATAAAAAATATATAGTCATTTATATCATATAGCCTTTTAATTTTTAATACTTCCTATCATAACATCCAGCACACATTGTTTTAGAACGGATTCTATGCTGGATTTGCTGTGTAATGTGGGCTTAAAATGTGCTGCTGTTTTATAAGACTCTCTCATCTAAATTGGATCAACAATTTTCACAATTCTAGGATTGTGCCTCAGGAAACAGCAGCAGATTTAGAGTGCAGCAGAACTTCTTATAATGCCCAGCAAGAAAAAGTAGCCAAGGATAGGTCCGATCTCCACAGGCTTTTTTAATGTTCTCCTACTCCACTGAAGTAGGACAGTGATCAAATTAGAGGAATACATTTTAGAGAAGGAGCAACAAACAACCTCTCTATGCATTATCAAAAGTGTATACATAGCTAAGGTAATGGCCATCTACTTATTACTGTGATATGATTTTTTTATATTTTAAAAAATATACCGGCCAGGTGCAGTGGCTCACATCTGTAATTCCAGCACTTTGGGAGGCCAAGGCAGTAGGATCCCTTGAGCCAAGGAATTCTAGACCAACCTGGGCAACACAGTGAGACCCTGTCTCTACAAAAGATAAAAACAATACTAGCTGGGTGTGGCGGTGCATGTCGGTAGTCCCGGCTACTCAGGAAGCTGAGGTAGGGGGATGGCTTGAGCCCAGGAGGGGAGGCTGCAGTGAGCCATGATCAGGCCACTGCATTCCAGCCTGGGCAACAGAATGAGATCCTGTCTCAAACACACACACACACACACACACACACACACACACACACACACACAAAAATAAAACCAAACAAAATAAAAAATAATAGCAATATGTGATTTTTCACAGCTATGAGGTTTACCTCTCATTCATCTGACAATTGCATGCTAATATTTTCAATATGTGCCATACATAACTCTTGACAACATGGTCATTGTAAAAACAACAGAGAATGGGGAAAAGCTGGAGGAGAAAGAAAGAGGAGTAGAATAGAAGAAGGACAGAGTAATATGGAGGCAGAAATAGATGCTTCCAAATAACAGAGCATTTGAGTAGGAACTTTAAGTTCTGAAAATCAGTTTTGGTCTTATAGAGAACAATGCAAGTCTTAATAATAATAATAAAAATCTTTGAACATCATAGTAAAAATTGTAAGGAAAATGAAACATAAAATCCACATTATAAATTCGGTGAGCTTCCCTAGGTTTTCATACTTCCTGCCAACAAAAGGCTTGTTCCATGTTTGATGACAGAATCTGATTATTAGCTGAGATCTGATTTAAAAAAAATACAAAGTTTGGGAATAATTAGGTTAAAGAAACAAAAGACAAGTGAAATTGCTTTCAGCCAAATGACCTTCAAAGAGCAAGAATCAGGAGTCATGTATTCGCCAGCAAAACATCCTGATCATCTTCAAGTAGGTGCTGTCTTGAGAGTGTGTGGAATTAATGAAGTCCCTCACTGGATGCTTTAAAAATATATCTTTCTATTATCAGCTTCTATAGAAATGGAAGTGCCAGACAGGAGAGAGGCTTTCATGAATGATTAAATAATCAAAGAAAATAAAATGGAGATGAGCTGCAAGCAAATCCTGGAGGGTCATATTATGGGCATAATAGAAGTGACTTGAGATAAAATTCTTAGGAGAATTTGCCATTTGGGTTTCCAGATAAGCAGGGGGGAAGAATTTATGCAATTCTTTTAGTAACTGACTTTCTTCGGACTTTGCATATGGGCAATCTCTTTGCAGACCATTCTCTCTTTGTGTGTATAGAATCTATTCAGAATAGGACCCTCTTTGTTCAGTGTGCTATAAGTCACTATAATGAGTGAGACCATATTTCTCTAGTGAAGGAAATATTTGTAGTTTCATTTTAGGAAAATGCTAAGCACCAAGTTGATTTTTAAAAGTAGGAGGAGGGTCAAAGGGGATTTCACAGCTGTTAAGGAGCGATGTTTTCACTTCACATTTGTCATCCATAATCTGCATCTTTCTCTCCTGACTCCAAAGTTACAAACTATGCATTATTTTCTTGCTAATAACTGACAGGCATCCTGCATTCTAGCAGATTTGTAATGAAAAATAATTGTCTATGGATGGAAAAACACCTTAGACAAACATTTTAATAGAAAATTAATTCTAGCAATTTGGATAGTTTTACTTACAATTTTAGATTCAATGTTCTGGTAAAAGAAATAGCTAGCTAATGCTAGAACAGTTTGTCTTTTTAATATTGAGAGGCACAATATTTTACAGTAAATTAAGTGTCTCGCATAGCCTACATTCTTGGGATATTCTGTGTTACAAATCTTGTGAGATCTAAAAACTCTCCAAATTTGCTGGTGAATAATCCCAAAGAAAATATTCTAGCACATGCCACTTCTAAGTTCTTGTTCAAAGTATAATAGGAAAAGAACCATTAATGTTTCTTATTTAGGCTTCCTATAAAACATGCATAATGAGGTAGTCACTGCATCTAGTACCCAGCTATCAGTGAGACAATATGGAACTACTTCCGTATTTGTCATGTAAGTGAGAAAGAATAACCACTATTTTGTATGCTTATTTATTTTGGCGTAGAGTCTTATAAAGTAACTTAGTTAATGGAAGACATAAATTAATTCTTTTCAATAGTAAAAAAAAAATGCAAAGACAATCTAGGCTTCAAGATTAGGAGGAAAATGCTATGGGCCTGATACCAGAAGGTAGGATTACATAGTCATTTGGAGAAGGACCTATTGTGAACAGTATTATGGTATTGCCTGCAGAGATAGATGTTCATTGTAGAACAGGTTTTCTTCATCCACGTCTACAAATATGTTCTTGGGGAATCAAAACCAAATTGTTTCCCTTTTAAAAGTATCCAAAATACAATGGCATTTGGTTATCATTTTGATGGAATAGTTCCAAAAAGACACACAAATGAGGAGCTGTTGTTATTTTTGTCCTTTATTTTTTGAGACCTTCAGATGACAGTGAAAGTGGATTGGTGAAACAATAGCCCACATTGACTCTTGTAGCCATCTACTCAGATCCCCAGAGGATTTTTCTAGATAACAGAGAGAGCCCATGTTGCGCTGGGACAGGTTTTAGGGTAGAGAAGAAGGTAAAATGCAAGCAGATTTATGTCTATCTAAGAGGTTGTGTCTGAAACTCTGTTTCATGGACATATACTTATTAATTTGATACATGGAGACAAAGAGAGCGACGCAATAACACAGGAAGCAACGTTTATCAGAGCTCACTGAACACACAGAGCGGTGTGCCATGGCTTAACCAAACAGAATGGGAACAGGGAAGCCTGCAATTCTGTCAAAATATTTTAGGACACTGGGTCCAACATATTCTTAGGGGATGTGGGTGGGAGGAAGAATGTTAAAAAGTAAACTGAGGCACAATAAAATTTAAAAGAGTTTATTTGAGCAAACAGCAATTCATGAATCAGGCAACTCCAAGCCAGAAGTCATTCAGATGCTCCATCAAGGAAGTAAAACAAAGAGGTGTTTTTTTTGTTTGTTTTTTGTTTTTTTTTTTTTTGGACAAACATTGAAGTAAAGCAAGGAAAATATTTTGATTGGTTATAGTTCTATAGTTGCCTTATTTGATGTGCCCAGTTAGAAAGTCTCTAGTTATATAATTATACATTTGTGGCTGCTTCTAATTGGTTGAACTTAAGTTCTGTTTTCCTTTAATATAGGAATTTACAAGAAATGGCTCAGGTTAAGTTTCACTTAACCTTAAGGTTAAAGTCACTTATGAGGCCTAATTGGCCTTGTTTGCTCAGGGATTCTTCAAGCCTGGTCTCCATTTTTATTTACTTTAACAGGAGCCAGAAATAAACCAATAGAATTAGCATAGAAAATCCAAGTTTGCGAAAAAGCCAGGCACCACAATTAAGACCTTCTTCCTCTAGATTTCAAAGTTTTTTGGTGATGATAACCAAGGATTTCAGTCAATCTGAAAATGATGGAAAAATCAAACTTAACAAAGTACAACTCTGAGGACACCACTGCTTTGCGCATAGACTTTTCACATTGGATCTTCTGCCGTTTTGCATTAGTCTAAAATACTTGGCCTGGTATTCAAAGCCTAGAAAAACTGGTTTTAACTTACATCTCCACTCTTTGTTGTCTCTTTACTATATCATAAGCCTCAATCTTATTGTTCATTCTACATCATTTGGCTTTTTACTCTCTATTCATATTGCATTTTGACTGATAGCCAATTCTGCCACTCCTTGCCACATGTCCTAATATCACCCAGCTTAAATGCTATCTCTTCCATAAAACTCCACAAGATTTCACCCAGCGGGAAGCACTGCTTCCTTCTTTGCTGCTTCTCTGTTCTTTGTGCACTCTAGGACAGGCCACATAATAGGGAATGAGAAATATAGGCTATACAGCTAGAATGAACTGGGTTGGAGAGGATGCCTCAAGGTTCCAAGTGTGTAATCATGGATATTTTAATCTTGCTGCATATCAGTTTTCTCATCTCAACAACGGGAATCACAAGAAGATGTGGTAAGCGTGCTAACCCTGTGCATTCCTTTCATCCATCCTCTTTTCCCCTTCCCTTGTGGAACCCCCTTCAGAATGATAGTTGATAAAGCTTTAACCCTGTAAATTCATTTCCTCTTTATGTTAAATCTCTGCCTCCATCCTTAGTTTCAATCCAAAATTTCCCAATCCCTGGTGGACCTCACACTCATTATGTCCCAAATGAAACCCCACCACCTCTCTGTTGCTGTCCTCCAAATCTATTTGTCATCTTGCATGCCTATTTCCCAAGGTCTGACAAAAAGAATCACAGGTTATCAGTCAACTAACAGATAAAAAAACTGAACCACAGGGAGGAAATGTAACCTATGACATACATACAGTGAGTACAACCAGAACCTATTGAGTGTCTGCTCATTGAAGGCAAAGACATAATTTTTCTTGTTGAGTGTTATATCTCTTGGAGTCGGCACAGGGCCTAGGTGCTCAATAAATGTTTTTAAATAAATAAATGGAGAGAACAAGGAGTATAGAGCCCTTTTTTTTGGCATTCTTTTCATTATAATATGCCATTAGACTTCTCAGAAGCTATTATCTGGGTATTTATTGTTATTTATTTTTAAAAACAGGGCTTCTCTAGAAAGATGAGGGCAGGAGTTGGCACCATTCTTAAGACAGCCTTTCAGTCATGAAGTCTGCTCTCTCTGAGTGCCTTCTTGCAATACCAGCATTCTGACATGCTCACCTTTTTTTACCGGTCATACATCAGTGAGTTTAATTAACTTTTTAAAATAACACTAAATTTTGCTTCCCCAGGACAGAGCGTGGACTCTCTTGGTCCACGGCAGAATCAATGTCTGTGCCCAGATCTTTTATGAAATATATAGCCCCTAACTTTGTCTTTCAGCGAGTGATGTAAATGACTTTCTTTGGGTCTTTAATTATCTTGGGATGATGGCATCTCTTAATCTAGCTATTGCTGAGTTCCCTAGAACTCTGCTAACTATAGAAACTGGTTGTGTAAAAAAAAAGTTCACCCACGGAGTAATGACAAAAACTTCTTTATATTAGATCGACAAAATACAGTAGCTGTGTAGTGAGGGCATACCAATTATTTAGTGCATATCCTCATACCAAATAATTTGTTATTAAGGATTTCAAATTTATAATAAAAATATGTTATCTTAGTAACGTCTATTATCCCAGGCAAGGTGACAAACCTCCCGAAAGTAGACATATTTTTGAATCCACAATGGGGTGCTTCCAATGTGCCTATATGCCTTTCTGTCATCTAAAGGCACCACAAGAAATGTGCTCTATCCTCCCTTCCTTCTTTAAAATTCTGTTTAAATGGCTGCTTGGCGAGGTCTCACAGGTGCCTCTAGTAATCATGACATGACAAATGTCTGTGACAAGAGTGCTATATTGTATGTTTCCAGAGTTTGCAATCCTAGTGTCACGAGATCAACATCAGATTTCATGTAGACGATGAAAAATTGGCCTCATTATGCATAAGCATAACTAACCTAATACACAGTAAAGTGCTGTTTAATAGCTCTCATATTAACTTCAATTTACAGAGATTGAACTGGGGACCAGAAAGATAAACTTTCCAAAGTCACACAGTTTTTAAAGTGTTAGAACATAGGTAACAGCCCAAGTGACTGGTACTTTGTAAATGGTATCATCTAAATAATATTACTTGCCAGGTATGGTGGTATCCACCTGTAGTCCCAGCTACTCATGAGGCTGAGAATGGAAGGACAGCTTGAGGCCTGCAGTTCGAGGCTGCAATACACTATGATCATCCCTGTGAGTAGCCACTGCACTCCAGCCTAGGCAACATAGAAAGGCCTCATTTCTAAAACTAAGCAAACAAACAAAACTGCTGGGTTAAAATCATCTTCAAACTTAAATGATATTCCTGAAAACACATGACATTTGCATCTATCCTCACACACACATTTTTCATTTTTCATACTGTAAGTATAAGCATCAAATTTGAGTTTCAATAAATTAGACCCTGGGTCAATGAATAGAGGAGAGAGACGGATAAAGAGAGACAGAGGAAAAAAAAAGAGAGAAGTGAATACATAAATTACAATGACTTTAAATTTATAAAATATCTTCTTGAATCTTTTGCAACCAGATTTTTTTTTTTTTTTTTTTTTTTTTTGAGACGGAGTCTGGCTCTGTCGCTCAGGCTGGAGTGCAGTGGCGCTATCTCGGCTCACTGCAAGCTCCACCTCCCGGGTTCACGCCATTCTCCTGCCTCAGCCTCCCGAGTAGCTGGGACTACAGGCGCCCGCCACCATGCCCGGCTAATTTTTTGTATTTTCAGTAGAGATGAGGTTTCACCGTGTTAGCCAGGATGGTCTCGATCTCCTGACCTCGTGATCTGCCCGCCTCAGGCTCCCAAAGTGCTGGGATTACAGGCGTGAGCCACCGCGCCCAGCCGCAACCAGATTTTTTTTTTCAACAGTAGAAAAGGTCCTGAACATGTGGCCAGAAACATCTGGGTGGTAGCCCGGGCTCTAGATCAGTGTGGTTTAAATCTAGACATGCCAAAATTAGTTTTGCCTTTAGTTCTTTCAACTGTAGTGGAAAGAAGGGGACATATACTTTTTCTGGTTCCTTATTACAGTGACATTCTATGATGTTATAGGTAATAAAATCAGTAAAATATGCATACATATTTATATCACACATACATTCATATATAGTTTTTCTTTATCAACACTTCTGGTTGAGGGAAATAGGCATGCTTTTAGGTGCTCAGTAATTTCTTGAAAAACTAATCTTACTGATTTAAAAGGTGTAATTAGGTGCTTACAAAATAGTTGGAAGGGCAGAGTGGTACAAGTCAGCCTCCTGCTTATTAAATTTAGGAACATTTTGCTGTAGCTACAGCCTTGAGGTTAGCAAGCTGCTGCAGCTCCCAAGCCTTAAAGGCCTCTCACCACTACAATTCTGAAACCTAAACACTGGAGCAAGACATTCAGCTACTGTAAATACTTCTAGTAGCCCTCAAGAAGGGCTGAATGATGGATTCTGGAAGGAACTACTCATGGATTTGCACACATTCTTTTAACGGCTTTACCTGATTCATAACTGGACCCAGCTGCCAGGGAGTGTGGGAAGTATAGTTTTCAGTTTTCAGCCTCTCTAAAGAGAAAATGGATAGAAAGAAAGCTAAGAGAGCCAATACACATGATTTACCACATCTGGTGATTGGGTTCCACAATTATAGGATAACCTGAAAACTACTTCAAATGAACGCTACCCTTGAGTGTCCCATAAGTTCTACTGAATGACCAGTATTGTATTATCCCTCCCTAAATTGAATATAGCCACATTTACTGCTAGTTTGGATAAAACTGTTGTATTCCAGTTTTGTGCTTGGCTTATGTTAAAGACAAGGGCTTTCCAATCATTACAGTCATAGTAAGGGAAACGGAATGCTGAGGCATACAGAGAACAGACAGCAAATGTGTCCCAGTGCCCAAGAAGTGAAATGCCAAAAAAAAAAAAAAGCCTAAATCTATGTTCTTAAGAAAAAAAAAAGCACTTTTTTTCTTTGCTTGTATAGTTGTATTTGCATATGCTGAATGCTTATGTTGTACAATCTTAGTGAACTTATTAAGTGTGTATTATGTAAATTTGGTACTGTGGTCAGTACTGTGAACATTATCCACATGCAGAAAACAGGGATCCTAACTTCAGGGAAGTAGCATGTGACTGGAACAGCAAGCATGTATACATACATGCAAGCTAGAACGAGCTAAGTAAAAGAGACGAACAGAATAGCACTTAGAGAGTTCACAGATCAGGGAGGAGGTCCTCTTGAATGAGATAAGTTAGCATCTGAGACAAACAAATGAGAGGATATATGAAGATACACAGCTTTTGCTTCTCTGGATGCAAATAATGTTTTCTATCACTATAACAAAATCTGTAGTCTTGACCTTCCCCTTAAGACTCAATGGTAACAGATTTTTCTGATATTCATTTGGTCAAATATTTAGTCAATTATAATTTTCCTAGTTGCAGCAATTTGAGATATTAGTTTGGTTTTGTTAAGAGTATTTTTCACTTCTTCCCTGTTCTGCGCCCCTCATCCATGCCATGCCAGTCTTAGTGTTTCCTTGCCTCAGGAATTTTATAGAAGTAAATCAAAAGCTTCAAAGTGAAATGTTTCCTTCATGTCTTTAGTAAAAGTTTAAAATCAGGGAAGAAAACATTCTTGCAGCATTAGAGAAAAAGGAGAGTATATTAATCCATGTTCATGCTGCTGATAAAGACATACCTGAGACTGGATAATTTATAAAGAAAAAGAGGTTTAATGAACTCACAGTTCCACGTTCCATGTGGCTAGGGAGGCCTCACAATCATGGCAGAAGGCGAAACGCATGTCTTATATGGTGGCAGCAAAAAAGAAATGAGAGGCCAGCAAAAGGGGCTTCCCCTTATAAAACCATTAGATCTCGTGAAACTTACTCAAGCCACAAGAATAGCATGGGGGAAACCGCCCCCATGATTCAGTTATCTCAAACAACATGTGGGAACTATGGGAGCTACAATTCAAGATGATATGTAAATGTAGGCACAGCCAAACCATATCAGAGAGTCTCTACCTTTATAGATTATAAGAGGAGAAAATGAGATGTTTCCCCCCCTCCCCAGATGAGTAGGAGTTAAAGGTCTCTGGGTTTTGCAGGCAGTAGGAACACATTATCCAATTCCAGACATCACTTCAGCGTGCTGGTGAAACATGCCGAGGCTGAAGTTTGGCATGCTTAGGGAGGCCAGCGCCTGGCCCCTGACTCCTGGCTTCCCTTGCTTTAGTGAAGAATCACATGCCATCACGTGTCATGGAACCCCAGAGGCGCCAGTCTTCCAGGAAACACATGGACTTGAACAATAAAGCCAGCAGCAATAACCATGACAGGATGGAGACTAGAATTTGCTGGATTTCCCTAAAAGCATGGACATCTCCCATAAATGAGTGAGGTATTAATAGAATTCCTACCCTTCCCTCACCCCACAGTGTTCTTTTGTGCACCTGAGTTTGGTAACTACATCACATCCACCACATGTATCTCACCAACAACAAAACATATATATATATATATATATATATATATACGTATATATATATATACATATACATATATATATATACGTATATATATATATACACATATATATATATATATACATATATATATATATATATATTGATTTGCAGGTCTGTGAAAGAAAACAAAATATTTGTGAAGAGAGTTGTATGGACTTAGAGACAAGGAAAATAAAATTCTGCTGACAGATTTATCTCCAGCTGGTGCACAGCAGAATGCACTGGACCTGGCCACTTCAGGAAGCATGCACCTTCTCATCTCATTTTATTACCAACCAGTTGTCAGACATCATTTCATTTCTACCAAAATGGGTAGACTTTTATCTGCAACTGTAAAGTTTCTCTGTAGCCATTCTGCTTTAATCAGAACCATAGCATGGAGAGAAAGGTCAGAGAACGATTTGGATCTATGAAGTCCAGCCAGCCCAATGCACAGAGGCATGATTTTAAGTAACGATCCCACTTTAGAAGTCTGTACACAGTTCTGAAGCACTGCCGTGAATAGTTTTTAAAAAGTCCGTTGATTTTTGGCATTTTCCTCTAAAGTAAAAAATATGCAAGTAACATATTATATACAAAATGTTTTCTTAATTCATTTTGTACATTAAAGAACTGTTTGGGGAATGCACATTAGATTGAAGAGATCTCAAACAATAAAAGTATTGATGACTAAAAACTTGTGGGACAGTAAACTTTAAAAAGAGACTAAAAGTTTTAGAATGGTAATTATTCTTTATAGCTGTGAATGTTAAATACTTTTTAATCAGCAAATTACAAAGCAGTTGCAGACTACTTGATCTTATCACTATATATGTATCAAAACATCACTTTACACCTCATGAATATGTACAATTACTATTTGTCAATTAAAAATAAAACTTTCTTAAATGTTAAAAATTTTTAAGGCGAGTATAGTAAGTTGTTCCATCATTCAACCAAATTTTTCTATTTTAAGACGAAATTTTTAAAAGGATTAAAAAAAAAAACAGCGTTACCTATTTGCAATTTAGTACCATGTCTAAGAATAAAAATTTTAGGGACAGCCCCATCAACAGATTCAAAAGTACCATGTGTCAAATAATTTAGAAAAAAAAAAAGATGATACGCTCTAGATAACTGTGTTACAGGATCCAAAATGTGACTGTAATGATAATGAAAACACTAATGGCAAAGATGATTTAAAGAATTTAAATAACATTGTTCAATGAAATATGTGAAAATTGTATTACATGTAGATTTTAACATACATTGGTAAACAAATTAATTAGTAAGTAAAAATCTATTATAAGAGTTTAAATAATCAAGTGTGTAAAACAAAGAAAACCTCTTGAAGAATCTTTTCCACTGGGAAATAGCTTATATTTGATGATTTTACATACATAAAAATATATATACATATTATATGCTGTATATTTATGTTTACATATAAATAAAACTAAACTAAAATATATAGCATTGATATATAAACTGTTATTCTATTCTTACAGAACCACATTATAGAATAAAAATAGTGGTTACCATCATTTGATTTTCTTTTTAATTTTTACTTTTTGAAATAGCTTTAGATGAAGAAAAGCTGCAAAAGTAGTATCTTTATATCCTTTACTCAGCTTCCCCTAATATATACAACTAACATAGCCACACTAAAGTTATAGAAGCCAGGAAATTAACATTTTGTTGTCTTTCATGGCCCTGACACTTTTAACAGTGATTGTTTCCTGTAGAATGTCCTTCAATGAGGTTTGATGTCTTCTCATGTTTAGAATGAGGTTACACAGTTTCAACAAGAGTAACACAGAGGCGGTGTGTCTTTCTCAATGTATCCTATCAGGATATACATTTGTCTATCTTAAATAGTGTTAACCTTGATGTCTTGATTAGAGTGTTGTCTGCCAGGTTCCTCCATTGTAAAGTTGCTATTTTTTCCTTTGTAATTAATAAGTATATAGTGTAGAGTCAATTTGAGGTATGCACATTTTCTATTTCTCACTGTACTTTCCCCCACTGATTTTATCATTCATCAGTGGTTTTTGCCTGAAATAATTATTTTGATGGTGTTTTATGAATGGTGACTCTCTTTATTAGTTCTATTTGATTATGTAGTGTTTCTTCTTTAGGGATTCTGTTAATATTATTAATCATTATTATTCATTCTTTGCCTTTTATTTCTCCTACTTTTTCTTCTATCATTTTTTAACTCTTTATATCATTTTCTTTCTCTTGGTTGATTTTCTGACATTCTTCAAAAACTCGTGTGTTAGTTCATTCTCGCATTGCTATAAAGAAATACCTGAGGGGCCAGGGGCGGTGGCTCATGCCTGTAATCCCATCACTTTGGGAGGCCGAGGCGGGTGGATCACCTGAGGTCAAGAGTTCGAGACCAGCCTAGCTAACATGGTGAAACCCCATTTCTACTAAAAATATAAAAAAAATTAGCCAGGTGTGGTGGTGTGCGCCAGTAACCCCAGCTACTCGGGAGGCTGAGGCAGGAGAATTGCTTGAACTCAGGAGGTGGAGGTTGCAGTGAGCTGAGATCTCACCATTGCACTCTAGCTTGGGCAACAAGAGCGAAACTCTGTCTCAAAAAAAAAAAAAAAAAAAAAAGAAAGAGAGAAAGAAAAGAAAAGGAAAGAAAAGAAAAAACCTGAGGATGGGTAATATATAAGAATAGAGGTTTAATTGGCTCATGGTTCTGCAGGCTGTACAGGAAGAATAGTGAGTGGCGTCTGCTTCTGGGAAGGCCTAGGAAGCTTCCAGTCATGGCAGCAGGCAAAGTGGGAGCAGGCACATCGCATGGTGAAAGCAGGTGCAAGAGAGAAAGTGGGGAGGTGCTATACAATTTAAAAGACCAGATCTCACGAGAACTCACTCACTATCACGAGGACACTACCAAAAGGAGCAGTGCTAAACCATTCATGACAAATCTGCCCCCACGATCCAGTCATCTTCCATCTGGCCCCACCTCCAACACTAGGGATTACATTACAACATAAGATTTAGGCGGGGACACATATCCAAACTATATCACCCTGTATTAAATTTTTATTTCAGTCTCTTCTTTCTTGTAATTTATTTTTCATCCTGGAAATAATTTTGTCTTTCTTTCATATTTTCTTGAGTCCAATCAAGTCTTTTTATTTCTCTCTACTTTTTGTCTATTTTGATGTTTAGTTTTTGAATTTCTCATTCAATGCGGTTTTCATATCCTCAAATGCTTATTTCAGTATATTTTGGAGTGTTTAGCTTGCAGTTTTCTCTGCTTCCTGGAGAATTTTTTGCAGCTGATGTATTTGTAATTTTGTCTTCTGAATTTTTACAATAGCCCTATGTGCATTTGTTAATTTTCCTTTTATGAACTGTTGTGGTATTGAGGTATTTTACAGGATTTTTAGAGGTACCCTATTCTGTCCTCTAATATAGTGATGGATTTTGTTGTTTATTCTCGTGGTAGAGGAGGATTTAAAATTCTTAGATTCTGTGACTTGCAGATCCTAAGTTTTATCTTAAAGACCTAAATTTTTCTTTTTTCTTCTTTCCCCTTCATAATCCAACAAAGGGGGTTGTTTTTTCCTTTTATTCCCTTTTCCTCCTTCAGAAACTATGCATATCAAAACTGTTGTTCTAAATCATACATACTTTTAAGTTTCTCTAATAGTCTATGCTCTGATCTACCTTGACACTTTTTTAGTATTTTCACACTAAGGGCTGTGGCTTTGAATTAAACTTAGGCCTCATAGGTAACTGTGCCTTCTCTCTTCAAAATTATTTTCCATCTTTCTTTGTTACAAAGTTTTGCAGGGGGCAGGGGTAGAGGGGGAGCAGGAGAGAGTATAGAGCTAGGATCTGGTGACTTTTCTCCTTTTACTTAAGGCATTTTGAAAATTGAACATGTTATGGTTTTTTAATTATCCACAGCAATATATATATACACACACACACACACACACACACACATACACATACATACGCACACATACATGTTATATATACATATATGTTATATATACATACATAACATTTTATATATGTTAACTATGTTATATATAATGTTATATATTTATAATATGTTTTATATGTGTAATTCCTCTTTTTACTGTTCTGAATTGTTTTGAGAGGAAATATTGGATAGGTGGTTTGTCTTCAGCCACCTAGAAAGCTTTCTAAAAGTATTATCTTTTTGTTCCTTTGTCTTCTTTCTAATCTTGTCTCTCTTCTTCTAAATTTCTTTCTTCAGGCTATGTGATTACAATATAAGCTTTAATATTTGTGATAGAGATATTTATGCTTGAATTCTTTTCAAAAGAGACAAAATAATTGTGCTATGAAAAAGAGTAGAATAGTAGATTTTCTAATCCATGTGGCCTTTATTTTTTTATACTAGAGTCAGAAGAGAGTAGAATCGACTGGATTTGTGATTTAATATTTTGTTGTTAAATGAGGAAGAAATGTCATGGGGTTAATTCTTGTATATGTGTGCATGGCATATGTTTGTGTTTATGTACCTTAAATTATAAAACACAAAGTATCTGATTACTTTGTGTTCCAAATCATAGAACACAAAGTAATCAGATACTTTGTGTTTTCCTCATATTTTCACTTGTTTAGGTCATTTGCATTATACACATAAAACATCAAACTAGTTAATAGAATTATTTCTCATCTCACTTCTGTATGTTACATCCCCTTTAGAGTACTGATAGTTCCCTTACAGTTTTCACAAAGCTCTAGTCAGAAATGAAAGAAAATATTTATACTTTTTACAATTATGAATGTCCAATTTTAAGTGATTTTTAATAATTTCTTCATTACATAGTGCCACTCTTGCAAAGGGTATCTATTCCGTGGTTCATTGTCCTTTGAATTCTCTCTTCCGTGTTTCTCTGACACATCAATTGTCAAAACCACAGTAGGGCTGGTGACAGCTCCTAAGATGCTGTAGTCAGTAGGGCGACATTGGCACTGAAATAGCCAGACACAGAGAAGAGTCAGTGGCCACCTCACCAAACAGCTGCTCAGGGTTCCAGCATGATGAAACCAAAGTTAAGGCTACACAGCTAACCACGATCAGGGAGAAAACAAGTCGGGAGACAGGAATACACAGAACAGAGAGCTCTCTGGAGGCAACAACTGCCAGGATTCCTCAGACGAATCGTGACATCACATCCTTTCCAGCCCAGCCAGGAGCTTCTTTCACTGTTTCTAACTATATCAGGAACGCATTTTTCAGACAGGAATGGTAAAGAGGTTTCAACATGCACACTAACTTTAATCCATCGACTGTGAATTATGGAACTTATATGAGTTGACGAACAGTCTATCCCAGTTTGCCTAGGATGTTATTACCATTTCAGACATTTTATTGAAGCATATTTATTAATAGATTTCTCTTTGACTCGCAGGAGGGTCCTAGTTTCAATCAATTACATTGTCACCTCACCTATGAGAAAGACCCTCAGTCTTCCTAAATTTCCATAGAAACATTTTTGATTGATTTGTGATGCCTCCCCAGAGTTATGAATAGTTTAAAACCTGAGAGAGATGGCTGCAGAGCTTATATACCTCATGTTTGTCATGTCCATATTAATGTATGAGTCCATTGCAAATACTTTGTTAAGCTAGGAGAGTAAGGGAGCAGACAAATGGGAGAGTATAACTTCACAACATGTTCTATATTGGCATATGTAGCTCACATTAATGAGAGTGATGATAGTTAGATTTATCAGTTGATGAGGGTAAGTGCTTTAAAAAAGTTTTATATCATTGTCTTATTTCCTTGATAGTAAGATGCATATTTTTCACATTTTATCCTTGCTAAATTCAAGAAATGTCCCATAATTGATATAGTTTAATTACCAGAATATTCTCTTTTAGTGTTACATAAGACAGTAGTGCATTGTACATGCCTTGATTTACTTTCTTTTCTGGTTGTACCTCCATCTCTTTAGGAAGTCTGTCTTTGGACTATAAGAACTGAAGAGTCTTAGAATTTACCTCTCACTGGAGCAACCTTATTTCTTAAGGGTTATTCTTAGAGTTATTTCTTAACTCTAACGTGGATCTATATTCCAAAGTGTTTCTACAGGACTTTTCCTGAGATCATATCCTTGCTTTGCTTCCTTCTTGTTGTAGGCAGAATGAGACCTCTCCAGAAAAGTTTGCATATCCTAATCCTCAGAACTTGTGAATAAGTATGTTATATGGAAAAAAAAATTAAGTTCGTAGATGAGATTATGATTGTTAAATTGTTAATAAGCTGACCTTAGATAGGGAGATTATCCTCAGTTATCCAGGTGGGTCCATTATAATCACACACATCCTTAAAAGCGGAGGAAGTCAGAGTGATGAAAAGTGAAGACTCCACTCACTGTTGCTGGCTTTGAAGGAGAGGGAAGGGGCCGTGAACCAAGACATGTGGGTTGCCTCCGGAAGCCAGAAAAGGCAAGGAAATGGATTCTCCTAGAGCTTCCACAAAGGAACACAGTTCTACCAACACCTTGATTTTAGCCCTGGGAGACCTGTGTTGGACCTCTGATCTAGAGAACTCTAAGATCCTAGATCTGTGCTGTTTTAAGCCACTATGTTTGTGCTAGTTGAGTATAACAGTGATAGAAAACAAATGCACTCTCATTTCCTGAACTGCTTAAAATCATTTGGTGACTTGCTATTGCACTCAAGGGTCACCTAACATTCCCAATTTAGCTTACAAGGTGCTGTATGATCAACTTCGTGCCTACATCTGTCAACTCTCTTCTTTCTACAAACTCCTTTCCTGTTCCCAGCTTTTGCACATTTTTTCTTCTCCCGGAGCCACTCTTTCCACCTCTTTCCTGCTGGCCAACTTCCCCTCTTCTTTCAAGTTTTGTTTTGTATTTTTTTTAAGGGACTCTATAATGATTTTCAGACTTCTAAGCATTTCATTAAAATTTGGTAAAAATTTAAGTAAATAATCATTATGCATGATTTAATATTTTACATTTCTCTCCCCTGCTACATGGTAAATTCCCTGCAAGCCTAGATGTTCATCTTGTTCAGCCCAAGACCTAGTACAAAATCTGGCATAAAATATTTCCTGATTGAATGATCAATTTTATGTTGCAAACAGAGATGAGATAAACTTGAGAATCAAAGAAAATAATAAATTGCCCAAGGTAACATGGCTGGTAAAAGGCAGATGTAGAATTCACATTAAGGTCTTTTTGGTGTGAAAGTTTGAAAACTTATTATAGAATATTCTCTTATATTGCCTCTTACGGACTTTTAAAAATTAACTTCAGAGTACAATATATAAAATCTAAGGTAGGACTAGGTTTGTAAAAGGCATTCAATATGTAAGCAGATAATGCACAAAATGATAGTTGGGGGGCATGTATGCAAATACATAAAATATATGAATAAAGTGGGCAAAGCACTATCATGGAAGAATGGCACTCTGCCCTCATCTGAAATGCCAGAATTTTAATCATGAGGAAGCCATTGTTGATTAGGCTTCTGATTGTTTCTCTGATTTTAAGATGCTTCTCAATATAAACAATAACATCAATGATGTGTTGACCCAGCTTTGCAGGTCCCATGGCCCACTGTGACTTTATTAAATGCTATTGGGAAAGTTAATTTCCCTAAATTATTTAAGTTCAACTTCAGTCCCTGAGAACAAAGTTATCCTGCCTAACCATTAATAAATTGGCGGAATGTTAAATAGCACTTTAATTTTGTTTCATTAATGTTCATTAAACAACCAAAAAAGGAAGGAAGTTGATTATGTCAAGCTCACGATTTTTAATTAAAATGGAAAGAAGCTGGAGCTCCTAATTTGCAAACACAGAGCTTCAGACAGCAAACAGATAAAGTTTATTGTG
This sequence comes from Homo sapiens, assembly GCF_000001405.40. Taxonomy (NCBI): domain Eukaryota; kingdom Metazoa; phylum Chordata; class Mammalia; order Primates; family Hominidae; genus Homo; species Homo sapiens. The sequence continues at coordinate 106,245,306 of NC_000010.11, forward strand.
CACTGTGAGAAGACAAAAAAATACCAGTTAATTAAAACTTTAGTTTAAAATGTCTCTACTTTAGACATAAATTGCTGTTTTGCATCTTCCTATAAACCTTCAAACTCCATGGAAAGCATCATATACAAAATCTTAAATATTGATGATGCATTTTATCATACCTTGAATCACATGTGCTTGAATACTTTATTAGGGAGCACATAGTGGAAACAAGGCTTGCTAGGAGTCAGAAAATATGGTTCTAGTTCCAACTTGAGTTTTATCTGATTCATGGCATGATTTGAAATATGTCACTAAATTTTCATGTGCCTCAGTTTTCTTCATCAGTGAAATGAAATAATACTTGCTCAAGAATTTTTATTGTTTGACTTGTCATTATTTGTTCATTTGTGAATTGTTACAATAGGTTTTTGGGCTACATTAAAACCGGATCCCCAGTTCAATTCAGCATCAGGAAAGAATATTCAAAGAGTGGCTTACTTTGTCAGCTGGACTCTTGGGAAATTTGATTCAGAGTCAAGGTGGCAACATGTCAGTTCAAAGGCTGTCTAAAAACCAGACTTCCTTTTATCTTTAGTGTCTGAAAAGAAAAATGAAATATCCAAACTTATCCATTCTGTTTCCTCCAGCCAAGGAAAGGGAGAAAACTTATGATTCCCTGAAAAGTAACTCCAAGTGAAATTCACCTTACGTCACATATATTTTCACAGGTATAAAAAAAATATGTAATTTGAATCCTATCTCAAATGTATTTGTAGAACTTGTAATTTAAGAAAGCCTGGCAAGGAACATGAAAATAGAAAGCTCCATATATATGTATGTCGATCACTAGTCAATTTCACTTTAATTAAAAATTTTTATCTGTACCTTAGGTACACAGAATTAAATTATTCATGCCTGATCCTCCAACCTTGGCTTCCCAAATTCCTAGGATTACATATTTTTACAATGTCCCTTCTTTATACCTATTTCGATATATGTGTGTCCTTAAAAAATACATGTTTGTTGACTAAATTTCTATCTGGATCATCGTTTTCAAATGGCCTACATATTTTCTTTTTTGTGTTTGCTTAACATCTTACTTTCAGGAAAGAGTATTTTACATTACTGAACTATAATTACTTTTTCTCATACAGTTCTGTCAACTATTAATTATGAATTTGAAAATATTTTTCAACAAATATATACTAACCATCACTTGTATCTTTTTGATACATTTTCCCTTTCATCTACTCTTAGAGTAAATTTGGCTTGATTTTAAATGTCCTAACCTGCATTTCTTTTAGATTATACATTTTTTTCCAAACAAAAAATAATCATTTTATATGCATCTTTCCTATAATAATTTTAGAGGTTCTTGATTTTTATTCACCTTGGCCATTATTTGAACAATGAGTTTAGCCTATTTACATGTATTATAACAATTCATTTATTAGGATTTATTCTGAATCTTATTTTTTGTGTTTTCTACTTGCCATATTTACCTTTTGTATTCTTCAGGTGGTTCCTTGTATGTATGGATCACGTTAAAATGTTCCCTATTATCTTCCTAAACTTAAGAATATTTCTGCCTCCAAATTATAGGCACAAACAAGAATCCAACATAATCTCCCCTTCAGTCTCTTTTACCCCTAACATCTTCAACCTACGACACCATATGTAGAATTCTGGGTTGAATTATGTCCCCCAATGAGTCTCAGTCCTACCAATTATTAAGTATTTAACTTCACACAAGAAAATGGAATGTTCCCATGATGAGTTTCCTCATTAGTAAAATGTAACATTTTACTAACACACTCACCTCACATGACTTCTTGATGAATCATTTAATTCTAAAGAAAGGAAGGGGTTCATGCATGGTGATGTACCATATATTAAGACATGTACATTTTAATGCCTGGGGTCATATGTTTCCTAGTAATGTGGAAATATGGCTGATTAGCTTCTGAAAGAAGACAGCAGGCACTTGATAAATGGAGCAAGGATCTATTTTATAATCGATTACTACTTTCAACCTCGGGCACTGCCTAACAAGGGAAGCATTGGTGTGGCTTATCACAGTTGTGGAAAGCATATAGCACTTTGAATTTGGGGGAGCACCAAAAGAAAAACTTCACCTCGTTCATATTTTTCTGTAACCAATATACTAGTTTCTCATTGTACCTTAATCATATCATTAAAACAAAAACATGATGTATGAGAAGTTCTTAGTCTTGACTTACCACATTTTATGAAATCAGGTAATTTCAAACAGACTGCTCCTGACATTTGCAGAACTAGGAACAGAAGTACACATGGATAACTCCCACCTTCTTACTTCACTCCAACCCCCATCCACTGCCACAGACCTAGCTGGTATGTGTACAGACATCCATCCAAACATCCACACTTCATACCCACAGGGCCTAGGGCCAACAGCAATTCTCCTTAAAGGGTTAATGTGCCTTCAGCAGGATTGATTTTGGGAAAAGATCCTCATAGACCCTGAAACAAACTTAAAACAGGTTGAGCAGAGAACCTTCTGGGTCCCAGATACCTAAAATATGGTCTGGAAGAGAACATAAATACATATTCCAGTTGTGGACAGATTTCACTGGCTTCAGTGGAATCCTTGTTCTGGAGAAGGGGTGGGCACAGCTGGGAACAGCAACAGCAGACCCCTGAAAAGCATGGCATCCGGGACAGGGGTCCCAATAGCTCGTATATAAGGATATTACGCATCCCAGATTTCTCCAGAGTCAGATTAGTTGGTAACACCAAGAGGCATCTCCAAAACCATTAAGCCAAGTTTGTCCAACCCACGGCCCACAGGCCACATGCAGCCCAGGACGGCTTTGAATGCAGCCCAACACAAATTTGTAAACTTTCTTAAAGCATTATGAGATTTTTTTTTCTTTTCTTTTGCGATCTTCTTTTTTCAGCTCATCAGCTGTTGTTAATCTTGGTGTATTTTACGTGTGGCCCAAGACAATTCTACTTCCAATGCGGCCCAGGGAAGCCAAAAAATTGGACACCCCTGCACTAAACTTTTATTGTATTGCCTCCTGGCGTAGCTTAGTGAAGAGATTCCCGTGTGTAGTATAACAGAATAACCCTATGTATTTTGTTTGTTTGTTTTTGTTTTTAGACATCATGCGTGGAAATTTTGATCCATTAATTCTAAAGTCTATCTGGGAATAGATATCTTTAAGAATCTCATTTGCCTTTTTTTCTTTCTTTTCAGTGTGAGGAGTCATTAGTTAACTAGATTTTTCTAAAGGAGATGCTAAAAAATCTCTGTTCTTATAAGATATATGATTACCCTAAGGGATAATTCAGAGATCAGCCATGTTCAATGTGATTACAGGTGATGAGAAATTTAGTGCACTTTGTTGAGCATAGCACCCATCAGAATACAACCTTGAAACTTGTAAGTTGTCAGGAAATGTATAGTGTTATATAAGTTTAAAAGGGGCCATTGAGTTTGTTATATAAGTTTAAAAGGGGCCATTGAGTTAACAGTTAAAAAACAAACAAAAATATTAAACAAAGTGTCAGAAGAGTCACAATATCTAAATTGTAGTCCTAAACCCACCACTAATTGTTGTTTTTTCTGAACGGCTCACTTCCCTTTCTGAACCAAGTTCCTTCTGTAAAATGAGAGGTTTCAACCAAATAATAATTAAGTCTTCCCCTTATCCCTGAAAGTCCATTAATATCATTAATATCTAGATGTATAGTAGTGGAATGAACAGAAGAAATCTGCAATTTTGTATTACCATCCTGCCAAATGCCACAGCCTTGGTGTGGGTTATAGCCAAAAAAAAAAAAAAAAAAAAAAAAAAAAAAGCCGGGGGGCTTCAGTTTAGAATATTGTACCTGATGGAATTGGAAAGGAAAATTATTGGTTGCTATCAACAAATCAGTCTCAAAGGTAAAATTCTGCCTGGAAGAAAGTCTAATTATATTTTAATTGGTCTTTCAATCAATTCAATTATATGCATTTAAAGTCAATAGATATCAAAAGCCACCAATGAATGAATTTTAGTATGTTTTTCCTCTCCAGAGTATTTTGGTTAGAATGCCATTAGAATTTTGAATTGAATTTGGGATTTTACTAAAGGCAATTGAGGGAATGGTTTTAAGTGGAAATAGGGTGAAAAACAAGAAAAGATGGAGTAAAAGGAACATCAGTGAATCAGGAGCCTAAATTCTCATCCTCTTCATTGCTCAGTGAACAAAGGAAGTTGTTTACTCTGTCTAGGCTTTTGGATCCTCATGTATCGAAAAGGGTAAGGTCATTCTATTTGTAAGCAAAGAGGTTTTCAGGGAAGATATAATGATAAATAAACAGTTTTGCATTTTTTAAAAGCGCTGCTGACATTTATGCACTAATGATGACATTCTTAATTTCTTAAAATCTGGAAAGAGTGGTACTTTAAACCTTTCTATCCTCTGTGAGGAAGGTTAGGCTTGTATATGCAGTGGAGTGGAGAGAGAAGACACAGAGACAATAAAATGGTACTCATTAGAGCCATTAGGATGACAGTAGTAAAAAAAAGTGACTGTGAGAGGAGAATAGAAGCATAGGATCAGGGCATTGGCTGTTTTCATTTTCCTAAGACATTCCTGCCTTGGGTTTTACCTTTTTCAATCATCAGATGTGATTCTTGCTGTCCTATTATTTCTTCAAAGCTATGGTCTGCTAGGGAGCTACTGAATGGGTAAAGCAAACGTATCCATGTTATTATGTATTTCTAGAAAATATTAACCCGGCCGGGTGTGTGGTGGCTCATGCCTGTAATCACACTTTGGGAGGCAGAGGTGGGTGGATCACCTGAGGTCGGGAGTTTAAGACCAGCCTGGCCAACATGGTGAAACCCCGTCTCTACCAAAAATACAAAAAAATAGCCTAGTGTGGTGGCACATGCCTGTAATCCCAGCTACTCGGGAAGCTGAGGCAGGAGAATCTCTTGAACCTGGGAGGCAGAGGTTGTGGTGAGCTGAGATTGTGCCACTGCACTCCAGCCTGGGTGACAGAGTGAGACTCCATCTCAAAAAAAAAGAAAAGAAAATAGAAAATATTAACCCATGATGTTGTGTGTATAGATATGTCTAGATATATATCTATATACACACACATCTCTCTCTCTGTATATAGATACATATCTAGATACAGATAGATATATCTATACCTAGATTTATATACACATACATCTATATAGACACACATACATTTGTAAATACACACACATATATATACACACATATCTATATACACACACATATATCTGTATATACACACATGTCTATATATACACACATATCTGTATACACACATATATCTATATATACACAATCTATATATACACACATATATCTGTATACACACATATATCTAGATACACACATATCTATATGTACACATATATCTATATGTACACACATATCTATATGTACACATATATCTATATGTACACACATATCTATATGTACACATATATCTATATGTACACACATATCTATATGTACACATATATCTATATGTACACACATATCTATATGTACACACATATGATATGTACACACATATCTATATGTACACACATATGATATGTACACATATATCTATATGTACACACATATCTATATATACACACATCTATATACACACATATATCTATAAATACACATATATCTATATACACACACATATATCTGTATACACACATATCTAGATGTACACACAGATATCTATATATACAAACATATATCTATACACACATGTGTATATATTTACACAAGTGTATATATATACACACACGTGTATATATATACACACATATATGTCTGTCTTTATATACAGAGAGATTTATCTATACACACACACACATAATGCACATTGCACGAAATAAAAATTGAATCTGGGTCACTTGAAAGTGAGGTTCTGACACAAAACAAAATTAAAGGTATAGAATAGGCATGTGATTTAAATATAAATGATATAGGGATGAAACAATAAAAACACTTTTTATGAAGCATTTGTAGTATGATGACTACTGTAGTGGACATGTTTATATATTATTTCATTTTACCCTTCCTATAAATATATATTTATAAATCATGATGATAAGACATGCCTAAGGCCATGGAACTATTCCAGTAAATGATGCTAGAACAGAAATTTGACCTAACTCCATCTGCGGTTGAGGACCGGACATTTTTGCCTAGCTATGCTGCCTTCCGAAAGCTATGCTAGTTATCTTCAGTTATGTCCATACAGTCTCCCTTTGCCTTTTCCCTAACTTTCTCCAAGAAGAAAAGGTATTGGAGGAGGGTGCTGTGCATTTCAGTTACTTTTCCCTACACACATTTTATCTTGACCCTTTAATTCACTATGATGTTTATCATCACAGACAAGTGATTTGCCCATGTTTCTGTCTCTTGTCAACCCAAGCAGAAAACTTTTGTGACAATTAGGACATTTAGCCACTGAACTCTCATCCCCTGTGAATCATACATTAATTAGTGTCAGATTGGATACAGATTGTCAAAATACCCAGATGCATTGCACAGATACCCGCACTAATCAACACCTTATTTTACTTTCAGTCTATTGAACTATAAGGTTAACCACTTTCCATGAGAAATGTACTAATTTAATGTAGCCAATGAACTCACCATCCTGTGTACCAAAGAAAGGTATATTTACCTCTATTATTTTAAAAAAATATTTACATTCGTTTCAGCCAAACTAGCAATAGGGGTACTTCCTCTCTTTCATATCAGACACAATTCATGCAGTTATCTTTCAGTGCTTTGAGTATTTTATTGAAGTATTTCTCTGTTCTTATGATTATGAGTATATAGATACTGTGCTCTATTTCTATTATATATCAGAGCCATTAGGTAGATGAATTGTTTCTGAAATTATGAAAATAGTAAAAAAAAAACTTCATTAACCATTGTAAAACCATGTTTTTACAAAAGTAAAAAACAGTGCAACCCTTAAAACATATTATTCTTTCTCTTTCAATAACCTAACAAATACAAATCAGATAATTGATTTTTTAGATAAATGTATAAATTTAAATCATATATCAAATTATCATGAAGTAAACAGAAATATAGGTGACAACTATGAACAGTTATGAGGTTTCCTTGCAATTAAGTCTCCAAGTGAGGGATACATATTAGAAACTGGCAGAAGGAATTTTTCTCAGAAGCAATGAGATTGGACTGACTTGCATTAGAAAGAATTGCACAAAATGCAGATTTAGAGAAAATCCTTCTACTACTCCACCTGTCAATACAGCATGGCAATATGAGATAGCCACTTCCCACATTTTCACATTTGGGGTGACAGCTGATTTCAAGTACAGATGGCAACACTTTTTTTCATGTATTAAAGTCAGCAGCCACTCCAGCTAGAAGGAAGGCACCTGCCATCTTTTCTGTCAACATCTGACACTGACTTCTCCATATGCTGCAGGAAAGAATTCATAGACTCTCCTCATGTGGTCCAATGGCTCTCATGCCAGATGAAGGGAGAGAAGTTAAGTAGCTGAAGTTATCTCTCTGCCCCCACCCTCCCCCACCCAGCCATGCACAGTTGGTGTCATCACAAGGAGGACTGGCAGTGGAGGAGCAGGGAGAGCCAACGGAAGCATTACTTGGCATCAGGTGAGAGGAGTTATCTCTTTTTTCCCTACTCACTTATTCCCTACATCATCATTTGTCAAAAATGTGTTTTATGGACTAGTAGTTCTAGAAGATACTCAATTTCAAAAAGGATTCCATGAATATGTACATTTGGGAAACACTCAAAATGTTAACTCTCTTTAAGCCCATTTGGGACCCTGGGCTATTAAAGGTACTGAGAAGTCATGAATTTCTATGTGTATATATATTTAAAAGTCTATAAAATTATTTTCCACCAAAGATGCTTAAAGAAATATTATCCTGGTCAGGTGCAGTGGCTCACGCCTATAATCCCAGCACTTTGGGAGGCCGAGGAGGGTGCATTGCCTGAGGTCAGGAGTTTGAGACTAGCCTGGCTAATATGGTAAAACCCTGTATCTACTAAAAATGCAAAAATTAGCCAGGCATGGTGGCACATGCCTGTAGTCCCAGCTACTTGGGAGGCTGAGACAAGAGAATCACTTGAACCTGGGAGATGGAGGTTGCAGTGAGCTGAGATCACACCACTGCCTGGGTGACAGAGCAAGACTCCGTCTCAAAAAAAAAAAAAAAAAAAAGAAAGAAATATTATTCTATAAAACTCAATTATACATTATTTCTAAATACAAATCTCGGGTCACTCATCCAGGGGAATTTGATTCTTCCTTTCACTTTAATTATATAAAGAGACACTTTGCTTCAGATAAGCTCTACGTGAATAGGGATTTTTTTTGCTATTATATCCCCCACAATTTATTGTAGCTCTAATGTCTAAAGGAGACTCTAACACATAGTAGTTGCATCACAAGTATTTGTTGAATGAGTTATAAGCTCTTCTATTTGCCTTGGTTCCTTATTTATTCTCATCCCTTTTATCTTCCCCAACAGCACTTATAGCTCTCTTTGTCCATGTCAGCTTGCCTGGCTGTGAGCTCTCCTGTGTGAGTTTGATTTTGGGGTCTTCTTTGTTGTAAGTCATCTAACTAAATCCTGATCCTCTGTCATGAGTCTATTCAGCATCTGTTTTGCCTGACTCGTGTTCTACTCTGACCTCTGATACCTAGAAGACCTTTCTGTACTCTGCTTCTTGTTTCCCAGTTCTGACTTCTGTCCTCACAACCCCAATCACCTATGAATACATATGCCACCATGAGAGAACAAGAATAAAGCCCATCCAAGGAAGACAGACCAGTTGGACATGGTGACACATTTATACGTACTGTGAATCATAAGTTTTCTAAACAGCATACAGTCTGTAAGCACCAATGGGACATATTTTTAAACAATGGGTCAAACGCCAGAAGTAAATCAGTGCCAATGTGCAAATTAGGGAAGCTTGCCATAGAATAAGATAAAAATAAGAAGTCAGCATATCCAGAAAAAAATGGCATTTACCTATCACGTGCAAAATTGTCAGAAGAGCCAAGATGAGTCAAAAAGAGGCACAGGCTGGGCGCGGTGGCTCATGCCTGTAATCCCAGCACTTCGGGAAGCCGAGGTGGAATGCTAGCTTGAGATCAAGAGTTGGAGACAACCTGGGCAACATAATGAGACCCTTACGCTACAAAAAAACAAACAAATAAATAGCCAGAAGTGGTGGCTCTCACCTCTAGTCTCAGCTACTAAAGAGGCTGAGGCAGGAGGATTGCTTGAGCCTAGGAGTTTGAGGTTACAGTGAGCTATTATCATGCCACTGCACTTCAGCCTGAGTGATAGAATGAGATTGTCAAAAAAAAAAAAAAAAGGCACTGATACTGAGATAACTGAATGGCTTAGGTTTGAAAGTGTCTTAGATGCTTGCTGCCTTCTGGAACAGCAACACTCTTACCATGCATCAACTTTTTGGTCTTGATGTATAACTACAGCACCTTGACTCAATTAATTAGAGAAATTTGACAGGTATGCCTTTTTGTTATTTTAATTCCTCAAATTTTTCAGATGTTGGTCAAAGGATACATAATCACAATTAGACAGGATAAATAAATTCTGAGAGACCTTTTTGCAGCAAGGTGATTATAGTTAATGAGGATATATTGTATTCTTGAAAAACGTAAGGAGAATGGATATTATGTTGCTCTCACCACACACACACACACACACACACACACGATAGCTATGGAAAGTAAGCAATTAATTAGCTAGATATAACTACGCCACAATATGTATGTATTTCAAAACATCATATTATTGATAAAAACATATCATGTTATCTGTCAATTTATAATTAAATAAAGAAAATGCATGGACCAGAAATCCAGAGAGGCCACAGTTTATTCCCCAATGAACCCACAGAAACTCTCAGCGTCAGACATTGCCAACCGCCACCACAGACTACAATCAGTGTACAATACTCTGGACAGCATCTGTGGGAAGGACGTGTGGGCAGGGTGAGACAGAGCCTTGAAAGCTTTTCTTTTCTTCTATAATTCAGGCAAACTACATGGTGAAACATAATTAAGGTTCAGCCTCATTTCCGTTCCCTTACAGAACCAAGCTGCAATGAGAGACATGGAAACAAGAATAGAAAGGATGATTGGTACCCTTAGGTGGCATGAATATAATGAATTAATTTCCCTACAGCATTCTTATGATTGAACATGCTGTGCTGAATGTGGTGAGCCTGCGACCAAGTGCCAGTCATTCCATGACTGCCCTAGCTTTTCAGTGTATTTAAAATACAGTGACTCCTATGCACATGAAGACAAGTGTACCAGGATGTTTACTGTTTCATTTGTTTTGGTAGCAAAGGACCACAAACACACAACCTAAATATGTATCAAAAAATAAGAGATGGGGTAAATAAATAATACATAAATAAAATACTCTGCAGTATTAAAAACAGTTTAACATATTTAAGTGTGATATGCTTTAAGTGTGATATAGGGGAAAAATGAAAGCATAGAACAGTCTGCAAAATATGTAAACATTTTTGTGTTTTTAGCATGTGTGCATATGAAATATATGCTTATGTATACATAATTATCTTACAAAGAAACTGGTAATAATTTTAACCTCTGGGAAAGAGGAAATATTCACTACATAACCTTTCCTACCATTGGTAAATTTTAAATGCACATATATTAAGAAAAATACTACCCCTCACACACACATCTAGACACTAAAATCTATATTTCCTCTCAAAACAAAGAAGAAGTGGAGGAAGGAGGTACCGACCATGAATCACACTTTCATTTTAAAATGTCTAAGATGTATTACCTTCACAATTATTCCAATTTATAATCCACATGGTACTTTTCTCAGCCTGCTATCTAGGTTTATAAAGGATTCATAAAAATTGAATAAAACATTTGAGTATATCTGCATATATCCATTTTCCTTAGGACAGAGTTCATAGCTTCCATCACATTCACAAAAGAATCTAAGAACTGAAAAGTGTTAAGAAATACTGTTCAGTTTAGGCCGACTTTATAGACAGCTTTTACTAAATTTTGTAAATTCTTTAGATTACATATGATATTATTTGATAAAATAGCCATGTGACATGGTTTGCTTGGCAGGGTAATAAATATTCATCATTTTTAGTGAATACTACGGTAAGTAATCTGATCTCAGTTGGGTGATATAAATTTACAGCAATGATACCTTACTCTGTGCTTTTCAAATGAGAAAACGTAGACTTCTATGCTGCTTTCCAGTTGGCTAGCAATTCCTTGAGGCATAGAAAAAACGGAGCACACCTTTCAGGAGTACTCAATTTACTCAGGAATTGTAAAACTTGATTTTATAGTAGAACAAAGTTAGATTGATTATGCAATATTTAAACTTATTTTTGAGACAACATGTGAGATTTTAAAAATGGTGTGCTCCAAGGACGGATACAGTTCTTGGTTATAGACTCCATAGTCCTAGAATTTGCATTTTCTCTCTGCATTCTTTGGTAGGAATATTTGAAAATACCTGCCTTATATTAATACTTTACAAATACTTTTTTATTCCTTTTTATTCATTCAATACTTGAAGGATCAGTAGGTATTAAAAACCAACATACATATTTCTTGCCCTTTTGGAGCTTATAATCTAATTCAGATACATCATTTCCTTATAACACAGACAGGTATGTAGGTGTAATTCTCTGGCTAAATAACTTACTTCACCTGAACATTAAATGATAAGCAATCAAAAGACAAAACCAGGTCAATTTTTACTATTTGTAGTCTAATAAGGCCCGCTATTATTTGCATATACTGAAATTTATTATTTCCTAATGTTTGCTTTTTTGGTTGTTCATTCTTCTTCCCTCAAAAAGAAAAATGATCTGGTCTACAGCTCCCAGCGTGAGCGACGCAGAAGACGGGTGATTTCTGCATTTCCAACTGAGGTACCGGGTTCATCTCACTGGGGAGTGCCAGACAGTAGGTGCAGGACAGTGGATGCAGCGCACCAAGCGGAAGCAGGGTGAGGCATCGCCTCACCAGGGAAGCGCAAGGGGTCAGGGAATCCCCTTTCCTAGTCAAAGAAAGGGGTGACAGAGGGCACCTGGAAAATCAGGTCACTCCCACCCTCATACTGTGCTATTCCAACGGGCTTAAAAAATGGCACACCAAGGGATTATATCCCGCACCTGGCTCAGAGGGTCCTACACCCACGGAGTCTCCCTCATTGCTAGCACAGCAGTCTGAGATCAAATTGCAAGGTGGCAGCGAGGCTGAGGGAGGGGCACCCGCCATTGCTGAGTTAGCTGTTTGATTAGGTAAACCAAGCCATCTGGAAGCTCGAACTGGGTGGAGCCCACCACAGCTCAAGGAGGCCTGCCTGCCTCTGTAGGCTCCACCTCTGGGGACAGGGCACAGACAAACAAAAAGACAGCAGTAACCTCTGCAGAATTAAATGTCATTCTCTGACAGCTTTGAAGAGAGTAGCTTCAAAGCTTCAGCGAAGTCTCAGGATATAAAATCAATGTGCAAAAATCACAAGCATTCTTATACACCAATAACAGACAGAGAGCCAAATCATGAGTGAACTCCCATTCACAATTGCTTCAAAGAGAATAAAATACCTAGGAATCCAACTTACAAGGGATGTGAAGGACCTCTTCAAGGAGAACTACAAACCACTGCTCAAGGAAATAAAAGAGGATACAAACAAATGGAAGAACATTCCATGCTCATGGGTAGGAAGAATCAATTTCCTGAAAATGACCATACTGCCCAAGGTAATTTACAGATTCAATGCCATCCCCATCAAGCTACCAATGACTTTCTTCACAGAATTGGAAAAAACTACTTTAGAGTTCATATGGAACCAAAAAAGAGCCCACATTGCCAAGTCAATCCTAAGCCAAAAGGACAAAGCTGGAGGCATCACGCTACCTGACTTCAAACTATACTACAAGGCTACAGTAACCAAAGCAGCATGGTACTGGTACCAAAACAGAGATATAGACCAATGGAACAGAACAGAGCCCTCAGAAATAATGCCGCATATCTACAACTATCTGATCTTTGACAAACCTGACAAAAACAAGAAATCGGGAAACGATTCCCTATTTAATAAATGCTGCTGGGAAAATTGGCTAGACATATGTAGAAAGCTGAAACTGGATCCCTTCCTTACACCTTATACAAAAATTAATTCAAGATGGATTAAAGACTTAAACGTTAGACCTAAAACCATAAAAGCCCTAGAAGAAAACCTAGGCAATACCATTCAGGACATAGGCATGGGCAAGGACTTCATGTCTAAAACACCAAAAGCAATGGCAACAAAAGCCAAAATTGACAAATGGGATCTAATTAAACTCAAGAGCTTCTGCACAGCAAAAGAAAGCACCATCAGAGTGAACAGGCAACCTACAGAATGGGAGAAAATTTTTGCAATCTACTCATCTGACAAAGGGCTAATATCCAGAATCTACAATGAACTCAAACAAATTTACAAGAAAAAAACAACCCCATCAAAAAGTGGGCAAAGGATATGAACAGACACTTCTCAAAAGAAGACCTTTATGCAGCCAAAAAACACATGAAAAAATGCTCATCATCACTGGCCATCAGAGAAATGCAAATCAAAACCACAATGAGATACCATCTCACACCAGTTAGAATGGCAATCATTAAAAAGTCAGGAAACAACAGGTGCTGGAGAGGATGTAGAGAAATAGGAACACTTTTACACTGTTGGTGGGACTGTAAACTAGTTCAACCATTGTGGACGTCAGTGTGGCGATTCCTCAGGGATCTTGAACTAGAAATACCATTTGACCCAGTCATCCCATTACTGGGTATATACCCAAAGGATTATAAATGATGCTGCTATAAAAACACATGCACACATATGTTTATAGCCGCAATATTCACAATAGCAAAGACTTGGAACCAACCCAAATGTCCAACAATGATAGACTGGATTAAGAAAATGTGGCACATATACACCATGGAATACTATGCAGCCGTAAAAAAATGAAGAGTTCATGTCCTTTGTAGGGACATGGATGAAACTGGAAACCATCATTCTCAGCAAACTGTCGCAAGGACAAAAACCCAAACATTGCATGTTCTCACTCATAGGTGGGAATTGAACAATGAGAACACTTGGACACAGGAAGGGGAACATCACACACTGGGGACTGTTATGGGGTAGGGGAGGGGGGACAGATAGCAGTAGGAGATATACCTAATGTTAAATGATGAGTTAATGGGTGCAGCACACCAACATGGCACATATATACATATGTAACAAACCTGCACATTGTGCACATGTACCCTAAAACTTAAAGTATAATAATAAAATAAAATAAAATACAAAAATATGAAAAATGACATCAAAAGGTAGAAATAGGCTTCCAGACTGGCATATAAGAAGTTTAAAGGTCTGCCCTTACAAGTAAAAACTGACCAAAGTGAAAAATCAACTCTTCCTGGATTCATCAGAGAAATGAGATCACAGGGCAAACCATTTCCCCCAAATTAGAGACAGACAGGTGAATACAGAGAACCACAACCTTCCAAGTAGAAATCTATGAGCAGAAATCTCTATGGGAACCAGTACTGGGACAGAAGAACCTGAAGTATAATTGATGAATTTGTTGGAAGCTCAGCATGGACATCTATAAGAGTTAAAAACTTCATGGAGAACAGAGTCATAGGGACACTCCACAATATTGTGAGATTTACCTTCCAACGATCAACCAGATTCTCACAGTGAGTATCAGAGAAAAATCCTCCAGTGTTTCAGGCAAGAGGAGGGGGAAAGTAACCATTTTGGAATATATCACAATTTTCTGTTCTTAACAAAGCCTGCCCTCAAGAGAAACTATTTTACCAGAGCCCAAAGAAAAGAAGAGCCTAGGGAAATGAATCAGTGAAGGTAAAATAAAAACTTTTATTTTTATTACTCTTTGTTGATCTAACAGTTAACAGTTTCTTCAAATACCAACAGCAACAATGTATTTTAGTTTACATATATTTCAAACATATATTTATATGCTTATAGGTAAGCGAAATAAATGACAGCAATGACACAGGCATAAGGGGAAAGAATGAAAACTATTTTATTATGATAAAATACTAGTGATGAAACAGGATAGATCTGTTCAAAAGTGGACTTCGATTGGTTGTAAATGTATCAGGTGTGTGCCGTTACTTCTAATGGCAAAAAGCACAATTATGTCTGCACTAACCTAATTTATTGAAAACTCTAGGGCAAGCACTAAAATGGTTTTTAAAAAGTATAATTGATATGCTAAGAAAAGAGAGAACATAGAAACATTTACAATGCTTAATTAAAATCACAAGAAGCCAAAAAAGTATGAAGACAAAATAGCAAAAATGAATGAGAGTGGCAAATAGAAAACAGTAACAAATACAGTCAATAGTAATCCAACTACATCAATAAACATCTTAAACATCAATAGTCGAAATACACAAATTAAAAGATTATCAAAGTATATAAAAAAGATGACTTGATTATATATTGTTTATAAGAAATTCACTTTAAATACAGACACATATAGAATAAAATAAAGAGATGGATAAAGGTACACCATGCTAACATGAGTCAAAAGAAAGCAGGAGTAGCTATGTTAATTTCAGACAAGGAAAGTTACCAGGGAAAGGAGGAGCATCACATAATGATAAAGGGTCAACTATCCAAGGAGACAAAATATTCCTTATTTGGATGTGCCTAACAACAAAGCATTACAACATGTAAAGCAAAAAGATATTATTATCACAAGAAGTGATAAATGGATCCACTATTATAGTTGGAGACCTTAACACCCTCCTATCAAAAATAGATTAATCAGACAGAAAATTTGTTGAAATTAACAGCACCATCAATCCACTGAATATAGTTAACACCTATAGACTACTTCATCCAGCAACTGCAGATTACACAGTCTTCTCAAGCTCATATTGAACATTCATCAAGATAGATCACATTCTCAGCCATAAAGTACACCTTATCAAATTTAAAATAATAGAAATCATACAGCATCTCTTAGATAAGAATTAAACTAGAAATCAGTAACATAAAGACAGCTGGAAAATTCCAAAATATTTGGAGATTAAACAGCAAGCTCCTGAATAACACATAGGTCAAAGAAGAAATTTCAAGAAAAATTTTAAAAATATACTGAAGTAAATGAAAATAAACATACAACTTATCAAAACTTGTGGGATATAGTAAATGTAGTGCTTACAGAAAAATTCATAGTATTAAATACATATATTAGTAAAGAAGAAAAATATAAAATCAATAATATAAGATTCTACCTAAAAAAAAAAAAACTAGAAAAAGAGGAGCAAATTAAATCCAAAGTAATCAGAAGCAAAAATATAATAAATATTAAAGCAGAAATCAATAACATTGAAAACAGAAATTCATACAGAAAATCAACAAAACCAAAAGCTGGTTCTTTGAAAAGACTAATTGAATTGATAAGCCTTTAGCCAGACAAAGAAAAAAATTAACAAAATTACTAATAATCTCAAGTGAAAGAGGGAACACCACTACAGACCCCATGGAAATTAAAATGATAATAAAAGAATATTACAAATAACTCTATGTTCACTAATTAGATAACTTAGATGAAATGGACCAATTCCTTGAAAGACACAATCTGCCAAAAATCACATATGAAAAAATAAACAATTTGAATAGGACTATATCTATTAAGAAATCTGATCAATAATTCAAAACCTTCCAAAAAATGAAAAGCATTAAGCCCAGATAGGTTTACTGAGGAATTCTACCCGGAAGATAGAAGTTGAGGGAATATTTCCTAATTCGTTATCTCAGGCCAGCCTTATCCTAAAACTAAAACCATACAAAGACATTGCATGAAAGGAAAATCACAGACTAATATCTCTCACAAACATAGATGCAAAAATCATTAGAAAAATTAGCAAATTGAATCCAATAATGAATAAAAAGAATCAGACACAATAAGCAAGTGAGATTTATTCCAGATATACAAGGCTGGTTCAACATTTGAAAGTCGATTAATGTAATTCACCCCATCAAGAAGCCAAAGAAGAAAAATCACATGATTATATCAACAGATGAAGAAAAAGCATTTGGCAAAATTCAACAGCCATTCATGACAAAAACTTTCAGCAAACTAGGAATAGAGGAAAACTTCTTCAACATGACAAAAAACATCTACCAAAAAAAAAAAAAAAAAAGTACAGCTAACACAATTCTTAATAATGAGAAACCGAAGATTTTCTGCTAAGATCAGGAACAAGGCAAGAATGTCAGCTCTCACTATTGCTTTTCAACATTGCACTGAAATTCCCAGATAATGCAATAAGAAAAGGAAATAAAATGTATAAAAATTGGGAAGGAATAAAACTTGTTGTTTATATATGACATGATTATATAGAAAATCTGAAATAATTAAAAACTTCTGGAACTAATAAGTGAATATAACAAGATTTCAAGACACAAGATTAATATAAAAAAGTTAATTATTTTCCTATATACAAGCAATGAACAAACGGAATTTGAAATTAAAAACTCATTATTATTTACATTAGCACCCTCAAAAATGAAATACTTAAGTATAACTATTCAAAAAGTACAAGATCTATATGAGGAAATCTACAAAACTCTGATTAAAGATATCAAATAAGAACTGAGTAAATGAATAGATATTTCATGTTTATGGATAGAATGATTCACTACTGGCAAGATTTCAGTACTTTCCAGCTTGATCTATATATTAAATGCAATGCCAATCAAAGTCTCAGCAAGTTATTTTGTGGTTATTGATAAGCTGATTCCAAAATTTATGTGAACAGGCAATAGACCTACTTAGAATAGTCAACTCAATATGGAAGAAGAAGAACAAAGTCAGAGTACTGACACTCCCTGACTTTAAGAGTTACTATAAAGTTACAGTGATGAAGGGAGGTGGTATTGGCAAAAAGAAAAGACAAGCAGATCAGTGGAACAGAATAGAGAGACCAGAAATTAATGTAAATATAACCAAGTGATCTTTGAAAAGGCACAATACAATGGAACAAAGATAATTATTTCAACAAATGGTACCAGAACTATTGGACACACACTTGCAAACCAAAGAATCTAGACACATACTTTACACCCTTGACAAACATTAACTCAAAATGGATCACAGATCTAAATGTAAGATGCAAACCTATAAAACTCTTGAATGATAACAGGAGAAACCTAGGTGACCTCGGTTTCAGTGATGACTTTTTAGATACAACACCAAAGGTGTATACAATCGCTGAAAGAAATAACTGATAAGGTGGACTTCATTAAAATTAAAATTTTCTGCTTTGTGCAAAACAATGACAAGCAAAAAAGACAAGCCACAGTCTCTTGGAGAAAGTATTTTGAAAAGACCTATCTGATAAAGGACTGTTATTCAAAATATGCAAAAAAGTTTTAACACCTAACAGCAAGACAATGAGCCACCTAATTTAGAAATAGAAAAATAATCTGGAAACCTCACCAAAGAAGCATACAGATATGAAGCAAGAATATGAAAAGATGTTCAATATCATATGTCATTAGGGAATTGCACATTGAAATAGAAATAGCATTACATACCTATTAGAATGGCCAAAATCCGGCCGGGCGCGGTGGCTCACGCTTGTGATCCCAGCACTTTGGGAGGCCGAGGCGGGCGGATCATGAGGTCAGGAGATCGAGACCATCCTGGTTAACATGGTGAAACCCGTCTCTACTAAAAATAAAAAAAAAATGGCTGGGGGTGGTGGCGGGCGCCTGTAGTCCCAGCTACTTGGGTGGCTGAGGCAGGAGAATGGTGTGAACTCGGGAGGCAGAGCTGGCAGTGAGCCGAGATCGTGCCACTGCACTCCAGCCCGGGCAACAGAGTGACACTCTGTCTCAGAAAAAAAAAAAAAAAAAAAAGAATGGCCAAAACCCAGAATACTGATATCACCAAATGCTGATGAGAATGTGACACCACAGGAAATCTCATTCATTGCTGTTGGGAATACGGAATGGTACAAACACTTTGAAAAACAATTTGGCAGTTTCTTACAAAACTAGACTCTTACCATATGATCCAGAAATCTTGCTCCTTGATATTTACCCAAATGAATTGAAACCTTTACAGATATTTATCTGTAAATAGTGGTTTTACTCATAATTGACAAACCTTGGAAACAACCAAGTTGTCCTTCAGTAGATGAAGGCATAAACTGTGGCACATCCTGAAAATCAAATAGTACTTAATGCTAAAAAGAAATCAGCTATGAGGCCATGAAAAGACATGGAAGAAACTTAAATAAACATTTCTACATGAACAACGCCCATCTGTAAAATCTACATACTGCACGATCCTAACTATATAACATCCTGGACAAGGCAAAACTATGAAGATGTAAAAAGATTTATGGTTGTCAGGGGCTAGGTGGGGAGGGAAGGATGAACAGACAGATCACAGAGGATTTTTATGGCAACTAAACTAGTATGTATGATACTGTAATGATAGATACATGTAATTATATTTTTTTCAAATCCCATAGAATATACACCACCAGTGTGAACTCTAATGTCAACTATTGACTGGGGGTTAAAATGAAGTGTCAATGTGGGTTCATAGATTGTAACAAATGTACTACTCTGGTGTGGAATGCTGATGGTGGGAGAAATTGTGCTTATTGGGAACATGGAGAATATGGGAATGTTCTGTACTTTTCTCTGAATTTTGCAGAGAATCTAAAATTTCTCTAAATATAAGTTTATTCATTTTTTTAAAAAAGTAATATGAAAATTTCTCTCAATAAATAAAGACTCCAATCCATTTTTCTATGGGTGTGTGTTTTTTAATCGATAAAAACTTTCCTCCTTTCAATCAAAGTTTCTAGTGGAACAAAAGCATTTGGTTAACCATATAGAACTTGGTGGAAATGGATCTATTGATACAAAGTTTTTACGGCTTGCTATAAACAAAGAATCTAGCTAATTACATGCAAATAAGGCTCACTAACAAACACCTAAATAACTCAGCCTTGTCTTCATTAAGCTACAAGATATAGCACATTTCTCAGGGAATTAGACAAGGAGTATTAATCAAAGATGCTTGTAAATCCTAATGAGTTTATTGATTGTTGGCCTCAATGCCACCATCAGCGGCAGCAAACCAAATGACAAGACTTATTTCAGTAAGCAAATGTTAATCTTCAAAATTTAGAATAAGGTTCATTGTTCACTTTTTAGATATTCTGCTCAAAGCTTTTTTTATGCAAACTTCTTTTGTAGAAAGAGGGCCTATATGTAAAGCTGTCTCTCACTGTCTGCTACATACCAAGAGTCATGAGCATTTTCTATTTTGCAGCAATCTGGTGAGCATTTGTGGCTGGGAGAGCTGAAAGTTACCTTTGAAGTAAGGGCAGGGATAAATGGCAGAAAACAAATAAAAAGGCAAAAGACTGAAAAGCAAAACTGATTTTTTTTTTTTTTTTTTTAACTAGTGGCTGACCTTGAAGCTGATTTCTCCCTTTACTCCCATATTCTCAGATTTCAATAGTTTCTTTTCACTTCCCCTTGGCTAAAATGACTACTGAGTATATACAGTTGTTAATTGGTCTTAATGTTACCTAAGAGCTTTCCACTCCATCAGTACCCCCTGAAACATGGCAGCTTTCTGTACGATAGTTGCTTGGTTACTTTTCTGTAATAAAACGCCCTGTTCTCTACTGGCTGATGATTCGATTGAAAATTTTGAAGTGTAATTTAGCCCTTGTTATTTTCCATTTTAAACTTCTTCAGTTGGGCATTTATCTCATTCCTTGATACCACTGATTTGTTTCCATTAAGATTCCCCTTGTTCAAGCATCACAATTAGCTACTGTCATTATTGATTCCCATCCCCAGGGATTTGTTCATGGTCTCAAAGTTGACCATAGACAGTTTAGCACTAGTCCATTGAAACTAAATGAAAAGTGAAGGTAGCAGGACTCTTCTAGCAAAGAACTTCTTTACAATAGCAATAATAATAAGTACAGGTACATTAGTATGTAGTAATGTTATATAAATTTTAAAATTTTATATATTTTAATATTTACTCTTTTAATTCGCACAACAATCCAATAAAGTGTTGCTTTTATTATCTTCATATTGCAGATTAAGAACCTGTGAAGCACAAAGGTTTATTTCCCAATTTGATAGTAAGTGATGGAGCCGGGGTCTAAACCAATGCAATCCGGCTTTACAGTCTATGTCCTTCACCAGTACAATCTACAGTCCAAATAACTGATATTATTGAATGAGTGATAATACTTTCATTAATAATAGCTGCCTATTCTGATAAAAAATCTTCCATCTTTGGTCTCTCTTGGCTCTATAATTCTGTGATTCTTGATTTGTTACAAGCTTTGAAATCGAACTGAGTGATAATAATCATGTCTAGCTAATGGGTAAATCAGAACCAGAACTTGGGTTTCTTTGTTCTTTACTCAACATTCTTTCTGTCACTCTTACTAGGGATGTAGAGGTTGAACCATTCTGATAAATTACCATTTTTGTTTCCCACAACAGTAATTTTTTTATGGTTCAATCTAATGTGGGAGAATGACAGTAGCTCTTTCTTCCTATAAAGATACTACATTCTCTGGATAAAATTGATAGCGGCAGGAGGCAGAGAAATTCTAAGGCAGGCGTGATGCTCAGTGAAACCCGACCTTCAAGCCAAAGTAGCCTGAAACATGTGGCCCAAAATGGGAACTTCTATTCCTATTTGCCCACTCTCTCCCAATTGTTTTTTCCTGAATAATGTCTTTTTACTAATCAAATGTTGCCTTTTCCAAAACTACCTACAACCCTGTCCCAGTCCTGTGCCTATAAAGACCCCAGGCTCGGTCGGTAGAGAGGAAAGAGATGGCTTTGGAGAAGGAAGATGGCTTGACTTCAGGGAAGGGATAGCCTGACTTCGGGGAGAAGACGACCTGACTTCAGGGAAGCCTACCTGCCCTTCCTGTCCCCTTCTCCAGCTCCCCACTCCACTGAGAGACATTTCCACCACTCAATACAATTCTCCACCTTCACCATCCTTCAAGTGTCTGTGCAACCTCATTATCCTTGGATGATGGACAAGAGCTTGAGACCCAAAAAGGCTGTCACACTGGCCTTTTGCACTTGCTGGCAGCAGTCAGCCCCCATGCAACAAGGTAAGCGGCCAATTGAGCTGTTAACATACAGCTGTCTATGGATGGTGGACCTAAGAGAGCACTGTAAAACTTCTTTTGGGGTTTCGGGGTCACAGGCACCCAGGCCCGGATGCTGCTCTGGGTGCCGCATGGAGCTTGCTCCTACCAGCACCCAGAGCAGCCAGCCAGATCCCGCACTTGCTTGCTCACGCCTGGCCTGGCTGTGGGCCTCGCATGGAGCTTGCTCCTGCATGCACCCGGAGCAGCTGGCCGTGACCCAGGCTTGCATGCCTACATGCTGCCTCATGCAAGGGGTTCAGTGTGGTGGGCCGAGTAAACACTCACCCCTGTCAGGAGTTCGACAAAAGAGGCCAGGAAAAACCTGCATCATCTGGGGGCTTGCCCGGGATTCTCACCTCGGGAGGGTGAGTAAATGCAGATCTGACTCTTCACCTTTTTTTTTTTCCAAGACTTCTTGTCCTCAGACTTTCTTCTGAAGGCACATGAAGCATCGAACCTTTGAGTGGCCAGTTAAGGGCAAATGACACAGCTACAGAAGACAGGATGCAGCCCTCCCAGTTCTCTCTTTCTTTTGGGTAAAAGGAATGTTGCTGTTGTTGGTTTTTTTTTCACTTCATGGAGGTCTAGCCATCGCATGGGACTGGAATCATGTCCTGGGGCAACTGAAGTCATCAGGCTGAGGCCACTCCTCAGCATTGCTGGAAGGCCCCTAGACTTGGCTCCCTCCCCAACCACCCATTGGGGCATCAGCCCAGACCCCCAGACTTTTTTTTATAGTATTTTCATTCCTTCTTTCATGGTTTGAAATGGCTTCTACCTCTTCTTTTATAATGTTAAGGATGTTACTACAAACTGTGAAATATTACTAGGTAGAATGAGCATTTGGCGACACCATCAGATATGCAGTACAGAACAATGCAATTTCCATCTGTTCTTAGAGGCAAGGAGGGTACAATGATTAAGAGTCCTCCCCTGCTGAAGGAACCCATGTGCATAGAGGAAAATGTTTTTTTCTCCAGGAACTTCCTCCCAAACCCCTGCACTTAAGCTGTTTTTTTCTTTTTTTCTTTTGTCCACCACGTCAGGAGTTTACACAGCCCTGCAAATACCAGGATTTTTTCTATGTGAGAGGGTTTTCTTCCTCACCTTAGCACTCTGCTTATGTTAGAGAAGCAACAGAGGAGCGACCCCCCACAGCTGTTGGCAGCAAATTTGGCAAGGACCATCTGGGATTTAATTTAAATGAATCCATGCACCCCTGAGAGATCTTATTGTCCCAAACTCAATTCCAAGCTTCAGGTTGAAGCCTTAGAAAGGAAAACTAGTGTCTGGGCGTGGTGGCTCACACCTGTAATCCCAGCACTTTGGGAGGCAGAGGAGGGTAGATCACGAGGTCAGGAGATCAAGACCATCCTGGCCAACATGGTGAAACCACGTCTCTACTAAAAATACAAAAATTAGCTGTGTGTGGTGACGCATGCCTGTAATCCCAGCTACTTGGGAGGCTGGGGCACGAGAATCGCTTGAAGCCAGGAGGTGGATGTTGCAGTGAGCCAAGATCACGCCACTGCACTCCAGCCTGGTGACAGAGCGAGACTCCATCTCAAAGAAAAAAAAAAAAAAAACTAAGAAAGGAAAACTAGATCTGAGGGATCCCCAGGCAGATGACAGTGGAAGCAAAGGGACACAGCATAGGTGGGCAGGACTAATTCCTGCTGCTTAAGCCCTCGTTTCATGGATAGAGGTCATGTTAGTATCCATGGAATAAATGAGGTCTAGGGAACTCGTAGCTTACTGACAGTAGGGAGGATAGACAGCATAGGTAAGTGAGAATAATCTGCCTTGTAGGCTCCATGCTTCATGGGTGCAGATCCCATTGGCATCCATAGGTGGCATCTGTCTAGGTCACTGAGGCTCAGGGATAAAAAGATGGAAGGAAAAAGGGGACACCCTTTTTTCTCTCCCTCACGCACCCCAGATTTTCACTCAAAGAGAGAAAGGAACTAAGGGATGCCTAGTTCCCTCTCTCTTTCAAATGGGTAACCAGCCATCTTCCATCTACATTCCTCTGGAGTGTATCCTAAACAACTAGGACTGCTTTGGCCCTCAGACTATGGAGAAAGTATGTCTCATAGCCCTTTACACAAAGGTCTGGCCAAAGTATGATTTGCGGGAAGGACTTGCTTGGCCTCAGGAAGGAACCATTCATTTCAACACCATCCTGCAGCTGGAACTTTTCTTTAAACATGAGGGCAGATGGTCCAAGGCCCCATATGTACAGGCTTTCTTTACCTTGCAGGGTAATCCAGATCTTTGCCAACATTATAAGACTGATCCAACCCTCCTGTTGGCCAGCTCAGGTAAGGCTGCAAGAGACAATCCCAGAAAACTAAAGAAACAAACCCCAGAGGCATCTCCAGGAGGAGAACAGGCTCCCTCCAGCCCTGCCTCACTGGGTCCACCCAGGAGGAGTTTCTCCTCTAGCTTGTCCCCTCCTAGAAATCCTCACTCTAGACAGGCACCAGTCTCACTCCTGCCCCTATGACAGATGCCTAGTGAATATGGCCCTAGTAAGGTCCAGGTCCCCTTCTCTCTACAGGACTTAAGGCAAATTAAGGGGAATCTTGGCAAATTTTCAGATGACCTTGACAGGTATATAGAGGCTTTCCAGAACTTAAACCAAGTATTTGAACTCTCCTGGAAAGATGTTATGTTACTTTTGAATCAAACTCTGATTAACAATGAGAAGCAGGATGATCTGCAAGTGGCAGAAAGATTTGGGGATGAGCTTTGTATCTCATATAGTATCAGGGAAGGAGATGAGCCTTATCCAATTGGAAGAGAAGCAGTACCAGTGGATGACCCTAAATGGGGTCCCAATAATGAAATGGGAGAATGGAAGGGGAAATATTTTCAGGTGCGCCTACTGGAGGGGCTTACACAGGCCTAGATCTAGGCCTCTCAACTACTCCAAACTATCTATGATAGACCAGGAATTTGATGGGAATCCCACTGCCTTCCTGGAAAAGCTAAGGGGGGCCTTGGTAAAACACATGTCTCTATCTCCTGATTCAGTCAAGGGACAATTAATTTATTACTCAGGGAGGCCCTGATATCAGGAGAAAGCTGCAGAAACAGGTCATGGGACAAGACAGTGCTTTACAGAACCTCCTGAAAGTGGCCATCTAGGACTTTTACAATAGAGATAGAGAGGAGGCCCAGGAGAGAGAGGAGACACAAGAAAAAGGCAGAGGCTTTAATGGCCTCGTTTCAGGCCCACAAGCTCCAGAATCCCTGGAATGCACCTACCAACTGCTACAAATGTGGCAAGCCATGGCATTTTAGTAAAGACTGTCCTGACAGCATGAGGGAGCCACCTCGACCCTGTCCAATCTGTAATGGGGACCACTGAAGGGCGGACTGTCCCTGGAGATGCAGGTCACCAAGTCCAGAGCCAGTCTCACAAATGGTCCAGCAAGACCAACAGGTTCCAGGGCTCCTCTCCCTGGCTCCAATGGTCCAGATGACCATTACCATACAGGAGCCTCCAGGTGATTCTGGTAATTGAAGGGAGGAAGGTGGACCTCCTCCTGGACACCAGAGTGGACCTTTCGGTTCTCTCCAACCAGGGTCCCCCATCCTCTCTTAGCACAACCATGAGGCACGTCTCAGGGAAGTTGTTAACCTGATATTTTTCCTAACCCCTTAGTTGTAGATGAGGAAACCTCTTTTTCACCCATGCCTTTCTAATGATGCCTGAAAGCCCAACTCCTTTGTTGACCAGGGATATTCTGGCCCGTATGGGGACCACATCCTGATGGCCCCAGGACAAACTATTTGTCTCCCCCTAGTGGAGACCAATATTAACACAGAAGTTTGGGCAATTCAAGGTAAAATTGGCCAAGCTATAACCCCCATACTGGTCCAGATCCCCCTTAAGGGTCCCAACCTCCTTTCCACCAGAGACAACATCCCCTGAAACCAGAAGTTGGGAAAGGACTAGAAGCCATCATTGATAACTTGAAGATGCAACGCCTGCTCAAACCCTACAATAGTCCTTGTAATACCCCGATATTGAGGGTACAAAAACCCAACAGGGAATGGAGACCAGTCCAGAACTTCTGCCTCGTTAATGAGGCTGTGGACCCAATTCACCCAGTGGTTCCCAATCTGTATACCCTGATAACTCAAATACCTGAGGGAACTAAATGGTTCACAGTCCTGGACATAAAGAATGCCTTTTTCTGCATACAATTACACACTGACTCCCGGTATTTGCATTTGAGGATCCCTCCAACCAGACCACCCAGCTAACCTGGACAGTGTTACCTCAGGGATTCTGCAACAGCCCCCACCTATTTGGGCAGGCATTGTCCAAAGACCTCTCTGAGTTCCTTTATCCTCAGGTTAAAGTTTCACAATTAGTAGATGACATTCTCCTCTGTGCCTCAACTGAGGAACTCTCTCAGGAGGTCAGTAAGGCTCTTCTTAATTTTCTAGCTAACAGAGAACACAAGGTTTCAAAATCTAAAGCTCAGCTCTGTCAGACTTCAGTGAAGTACCTAGGGCTGGTCTTGTCAGAGGAGACCAGGGCATTGGGTGAAGAAAGGATTAAGCCCATCTCTTCTTTCCCCTCCCCCAAACCCTTAAGCAACTGAGGGGATTCTTGGGCATTACAGGATTCTGCAGACTATGCATACCTGGGTACAGTGATATGGCTCATCCCTTATATCACCTAATAAAGGAGACTCAGGCATCTAAAACTCATTCCCTAACTTGGGAACCAGAGGCTAAAAAGGACTTTGACCAATTAATACAAGCCTTGCTCGAGGCACCAGCCCTTAGTCTTTCCATAGGGAAGACATTTAATCTTTATGTGTCAGAAAGAAAGGGAATGACCCTGGGAGTTCTAATCCAGGCCTGAGATCCAGCCCAGCAGCCTGTAGGCTAAGTAAGGAGCTTGATTTAGTAGCTAAAGGATGGCTGGCCTGCCTCCGGGCAATTGCAGTGGTAGTCTTGCTGGTACTAGAGGCTATTAAGTTAATCATGGAGAATAACTTAAGTGTTTATACCCCACATAATGTGGCAGGACTGCTGTCTTCTAAGGGGAGTCTCTGGCTAATGGATAACTGCTTCCACAGATATCAAGCTCTGCTATTACAGAGATCTGCAGGCCAATTAAGAACGTGTCCCTCCCTAAATCCAGCCACCTTCCTCCCAGAGTAAGCTGGGGAGCTTGAACATAACTGCAAACAGATAGTAGTACAAACCTATGCGGCCAGAGAGGACCTTAAGGAAACCCTCTTAGAGAACTCAGAGTGGATTCTCCTTACTGATGGAAGTTCTTTTGTAGAACAAGGGATCCATAAAGCAGGGTATACAATAGTTATGCTGAATGATATTGTGGAGAGCACATCTCTTTCCTTGAGTATAAGTGCTCAATTAGCCAAGCTAACTGCCCAAACAAGAGTGATCAAATTAAGCAAAGGGAAATAAGTTAATATTTACACTGATTCTAAGTATGCTTTCCTAGTCCTCTATACCCATGCCACTATCTGGAAAGAGAGGAACTTCCTCACAGCTAATGGGTCTCCCATTAAATACCATCAGGAAATTAATAGACTATTATCCTTGGTTTTCCTCCCACAGGAAGTGGCGGTAATACATTGTGAAGGCCACCAGAAGGGGGCTGATGAAATAGCCAAGGGAAATAGGTTGGCAGACCAAGCAGCTAAATCAGCAGTGAGAGGGCACCAGATTTCTAATCCACTTGAAGCCCTTCTAATCTGGGAGGGCTCCATAAGAGAAATAAAACCTCAATATTTCTCTCGCAGAAATAGAATCTCTTGGGGATACATCTTGCAGCCCTCAGGATGGTTACAGTTGGAGGATGGCAAGCTTCATCCACCAGCTACCAGCCAATGGAAATTTCTTAAAATCCTTCACCAGGATTTCCACTTTGGTAAGGATAAAACCTATCAATTGGCCTAGAGATTGTTCTCAGGTGAAAATCTGCCAGAAACAGTCAACAGGTTGTTAATGCTTGCAAGATTTGCCTTAAAAATAATCCCCTCAATGGATGGCTTCTTTCTCCCAGAACCCAAAGGACAAGGTGCTACCTGGGAGAAGACTGGCAAATGGATTTCACCCATATGCCAAAGACAAGAGGCATCCAGTACCTCCTAGTATGGGTAGATACCTTCACTAACTGGATAGAAGCATTTCTTTACATGTCAGTCAGAGAGAGCCTCTGAGGTGATAAAAGTATTAGTTAACAAGATAATTCCTCACTTTGGATTCCCCACGTACCTCCAGAGCAATAGTAGCCCCTTGTTCAAGGTGGCTGTGACCCAGAGAGTCTCAAAGGCACCAGGCACACAATACCATCTTCATTGTGCGTGGACACCACAATCCTCAGGAAAGGTAGAAAAGACAAATGATATTATCAAAAGGCACCTCAGGAAACTGTCTCAGGAGACTCATCTGCCCTGGACTACCCCTTCTTCCCATAACCCTATTACATTTTAGAAACACCCTTTCAAAGCTAGATTTAAGTCCCTTTGAAATGATGTATGAATGGCCTTTTCTCACCAATGATTTCTTGCTAGACCAAGAAACCTCTGATTCAATAAACATATAACTTCTTTGGCTCATTTCTAATAGGAACTGAAACAACTGTCAGAGGCCCATTCCCATGAACTAGGGCCACCTCTATTCAACCCAGGGGACCTAATGCTGGTAAAGGTACTTCTTTCCCTTTCTCCCTCTATAGGCCCAGATTGGGAGGGACCTTACACTGTACTAACTTCTTTCTACTGCTATGGCAGTAAAGTCCACTAGAATAGATTCTTGGATTCATTACACTCTAGTAAGGGACTGAGAAACTGAGAGAGCTGCCTCAGTCAACCCACAAGAGGACCCAAAGTTTCCTTTGAATGATTGACTTCCATGTTCACTATTACTTCCATGTGAATTATAACTTCCATGTTCATAAAAACTTTATCTAAATAATTAGAAAATGTTAACATTCAATTATCATAGGTTTCCTTTATCTAAATAATTTGCCAAAAACAGTTTTGGCAAAGCAGTACTAGTCCTTGCCAATCTTCTTATAAAACATACTGCATGCAGTGTGTGAATGCCAGGACCTGTGTACCTGAGTGTGCTCATGCAATTCAAACCTAGAACACACCTGTCCAGAGAAAGTTTTGTTGCTTGAAGGCCTACTTTTTTGAATTCTTTCTTTTTCACATAGTACACCCACTGGGTGACCAACTAATCATCTAGTTGTTTCATGTAATTCACTCATAGTTGCCAACACATGTAATGAAGCTATTCACATACGTATCTGTGTGCCATAGCTCAACCAACTCTTATCATAAATATAGGATACAGCTTAATGTAGGCAGCACTCATCTTCTCAACTTACGACCAGTTGTTACTCTGATTTATGTCTTAGTGACATATTTTATCACTCCTCCTCTACTATCATCATGTAACACTTATCTGTTACCCTCATAACTTGTCTCTTGGGCTCTTGCAACACTTGTTTAAACTACTCTGAATATCCCATCTCTTCAATGCACCCATCACACTGTTGCCATAGTAAGTTCATGGCACATTCTCTTTGTTATTTTTCTATTCAAAAAAGATTGACAGTGAGTCTCCACCGCTAACCAATGAAAATGTTCCGCCTGGCATTCAAGGCCATCTATTCTCATTCACAATATACTTCCCACTTGTATTTCCCCTCCTCTCTTACGTGGGCCAGACCTCTTACCGCAATCCTGGTATGTCTATGTTTGCTCACCTCTATGCTTTTGCTTCAGCTCTTGCCCTAACCTATTACCATTATATTCACTTGTCAAGGCTTCAGTCAAACGTCCTTGCTATCACAAAAATAAAGCTGTACCTGATCTCTTATTTCAAAATGATGACCTCCTACTCTGAAATCAGTGCATTCTGTGCCATTCCTAAGGCACTTCCCACATTTTTACATCCTCAAAATCTCTATAAGTTTCTTGCAATAGGAGACTATGCCATTTATCTTTGAACCCCTGACAAGTTAAAAATAGTTTACACATGTTTAGCGGCAGTAAATGGTAGTAGAATGAGTGGGTGATAGTCACCTCAATAAACTTTGAAGTCTTCTTTAAGAACTCCTATCCCATGGACTTTTCTTTTTGAATCTCCCAAAGTTCTCATAATAGCTCCTATATGACATGTGATTTTGCTGTGTTTCATATATGGTGAAGAGAAACCCACAGTAATTGAATGTTAACATTAGAAATTGGGCCCAATGCAATAAATGCCTGTTTTTTAGTTTCTTCTCCAATACTGTTGACCATCATTTATTTTACATAGTATCTACCTGTGGTTCTCTGAAAAATCAGACTGTCTCTGTCTTCTTAGCCTGTGTGCAATGCTGCTGCTTATTCCCAGGATGTCTTTTCTCTACCTGACCCTCACAATAGATTTCAAAACCCAGTTCCAACTTCTCCTCTACAAAATCCACTCTGACAATTTACTTCCATGTTCATTATTACTTTAATAATAAAATTGCATGTTTATTATTACTTCCATGTTCATTATTAGCCCTTCATTGTGGCTCTTAAAACATGGTATTATAAAACCATTATTTCATTGTCTTTGTTTCCCACCATACTGTGATTATTTTAGATTAAGAGACAGTTTTATTTCTCTATCTCTAATGTCAGCCCAGAAAAGTTTATATATATATTCCTCATTTTACAAAAGTGGAAAACAGGCTTGGGACATGTAGGCAATTTGCTCAGCTGTCAGCTTAATTAAGGTAGATGACTAGGATTTGAACATAGCTTTAATCTGACCCTGGATTCTGTCCTCCTAACCAGAGGAGGTTAACTGGTTAACTGTGCTCTATTCACAAAGACAAGTGGAACGATCTTAATTTTTGATCTCTAGGTTTTTGACCTCTTAATCTATTCCTGTATGATTTGGTTTTATATATATATAAAACCAAATCAAAACTAGTTAGTAACCAAGTGAGAAATCAAATTCAAGGGGAGAAAGACTGACTAGTCCCATTCTCAAAGCAAGTCTGTAAACCAAGGAGAGGGAAATGATTTAATTTGAACAATATGTTACATTTGTACTTGGACTAACTTGAACTGAACTTTTTTATAACCAAATGTGACCATAGGTTTGCAGAGGAAACCTATGCAACCTGCCCAAAATATTGAAAGAATGATTCTATAGAACATGACTAAGAGATACTATGGGAGTGAAATTGCCTGATATATGTCATTAAACTCATATCTTTCCAAAAACTCACAATATTAAGATACTATTATCAAATATGTTAAAAAAACTTACACATAATTTCTGAGAGCTATTAATCTGCCTATTTATAAATTACACAGGTAAGTCATTCTCAGGACACACTTAAGAGCCACTGTGGGGATCTTTTCCACAGATGCAAACACAGAATACCTTTTTGTCTTTCCTAATTCATAATTTAACTTGTTAAGGAGAACTAAATACATAATTGCTCCTTGAAAGTCTATGCTATGAATAATAATTTATAAAATCACTTGGTGGAAATGATACAGAATAGATTTCATAAAAGGTATTTTTAAACCATAAGTTCTTTTTTTGTGTGCTTTTTCAGCTCTGTGTAAAATGTTTGCAATAGCTCTACAAACCTTTAGATAGTCTTCTGTTTACAATATAAGTGGTTGCTATTCAGAAGGTCAAAAATACAGTGGCATTTGAGACTGCTTTGTACGAAGACCTTTTTGGATTTATGGGAGTGTTTTGCATTTATTTATTTATTGTTATGTTTCTTTCTCATGCCCTTTAAAAATATCTTTAGAATTCGAGCCAAAAGGCTATTGGTAAGTACAGGTCTGAGAGAGACTGGTGACGGCTATAACTTGGCTCTTCAAAAGAGTGAATAACAAACAGCCTTAATACTCTCTTTATCAGGTAATCATCCATCAGAAATAACACACAGAGCTTAGGAATTGGAGACCCAAATTTACAAATTGTGAATATTTTATAATAAATCTCCAGATGTGATTATTATTCTTAAGACCCAAATGCTTAGATGATTAATAAATAAATACAGAATATTTTACTTACTTGAACTTGGCTGTATTTTTTTTGAACTTCATAAATTATACAGGAATAGATTAAGGGGTCAAAAACCTAGAGATCAAAAATCAAGATTGTTCCACTTGTCTTTGTGAATAGAGTACAGTTAACCAGTTAACCTCCTCTGGTTAGGAGGACAGAATCCAGGGTGAGATTAAGGCTATGTTCAAGTCCTAGTCATCACCTTAATTAAGCTGAGAGCTGAGCAAACTGCCTAAATGTCCCAAGCCTGTTTTCCACTTTTGTAAAATGAGGATAATATCAGTATCTGACCCAGGGTGACCATAAAGACTATGATATAACCCATGTAAAGGGTTTAGCATAGTACCCAGAGTAAAATAGATTATCAACAGATGCCAACAACTGTTATCTTTCTGACACTAGGTCAATTTGAAGAAATTAGATGGAGCTGGTCAACTTGCCCAACTCCATCTAATTTCTCCCCAGAGTTGTGCCCCAGTTACATTAACAGCCAATATTGAAAATGAATATTACATGAAATAACGTATATTTTATTGTGGCTGTTTATCAGTTGTGGGTAACTCAGAAGTTGGAGTCCAATACCAGATTGAGAGAATGGTTAAGAAAAGGCAGCTACTTTATGAAGAGATCCTATTGTTTAGTATGCTCCTATGTGATTATTCAGAGAAATATACAAAAACCTAAATTTCTAAACCAGTGTTGCAATACAGTGCTTTCTGTAAGTAGCAAATTAGGAGACTGGCTGTCAGCCCACTTGTAACCTGGAGAAATGTATGAAAAATCTGCCTGTTATTGGGGATGGGTAGTCCTGATTCAGAGCGTGGGGAAATACTAAAAGTAAGTATTACTGGTAAGGGACTGACTCCCTCTGCTGGGTACTACTTGGTTCTTGTTTTATGGCTCTAGTATTTAAATGGTGAAGCTTTCCTTGTGCTATTAGCCTCCCTCTGTGTGGGATTGATATGGTTTGGCTCTGTGTCCCCACCAACTTCATATTGAATTGTAGTTCCTAATGTTGGGGGAGGACCTGGTGGGAGGTGATTGGATCATGGAGGCAAACTTTCCCCTTGCTCTTCTTGTGATATTGAGTGAGTTTTCAGGAGATCTGGTTGTTTAAAAGTGTGTAGCACTTCCCCCTTCACTCTCTCTTCTGCCACCATGTAAGGATGTACCTGCTTCCCCTTCACCCTTCAACCGTGACTGTATGTTTCCTGAGGCCTCTCCAGCCATGCCTAACTGCGAATCAATTAAACCTCTTTTCTTCATAAATTACCGAGTCTCAGGTAGTTCTTTATAGCAATGTGAGAATGGACTAATACAGGGATGTAAAGTAAGTTACATCTGAAGAAAAATATTACTCCTGTGTACACATGTCTCTCCACATGGAAGACAGGAACTTAGAGGTCTGGATGATTTCAGCCTGGTCTCTTTACTACTGGAGAACACTGAATGGGTCCTGACATGGCAAGACCCCATCACTCGGGTGGGAAATAATCTCCCTCATGGAGATCTGACAAGCTGAGAAAGTGGAACCCCGGGGCAATATCGGAGACTTTGGCAAACATTTGGTAGCAGAACTCTAACATGTTCATGGGGTGATGGAGGGCAGGGGGATTTGTGTTAAGCCTTATCACACAGATCCTCCTCAAATTCAGACTTCTGGTCTTAGCTTCACAAGAGATTATAAATACATCCATTAGAAACTTATAAAAAGTACCAATTTCTAATAGAAATGTTAAGTGGAAAATGTAAAGTGTCAATATATGTGAAGTAGATTTTTCACACAATTTCACAATTAGTGCAACCATTTTTTATTTGATAGTGGAATGAGAAAAAGTGAAAGGTGTGTACCATGGTCTCTCTTGACTCTGAGAGACTGTGATTGTAGGATCAGCAGATATTCTTTAGAAACTTGTTTCAGTTCTGTTTGTATTTTCTGTTAGTGTTTTTCTCAGCAGTTAATAAAATTCTTTAGAAGACATTTATGCAGCCAAAAAACACACGAAAAAATGCTCACCATCACTGGCCATCAGAGCAATGCAAATCAAAACCACAATGAGATACCATCTCACACCAGTTAGAATGGCAATCATTAAAAAGTCAGGAAACAACAGCTGCTGGAGAGGATGTGGAGAAATAGGAACACTTTTACACTGTTGGTGGGACAGTAAACTAGCTCAACCATTGTGGAAGTCAGTGTAGTGATTCCTCAGGGATCTAGAACTAGAAATACCATTTGACCCAGCCATCCCATTACTGAGTATATATCCAAAGGACTATAAATCATGCTGCTATAAAGACACAGGCACACGTATGTTTATTGCAGCACTATTCACAATAGCAAAGACTTGGAACCAACCCAAATGTCCAACAATGATAGACTGGATTAAGAAAATGTGGCACACATACACCATGGAATACTATGCAGCCATAAAAAATGATGAGTTCATGTCCTTTGTAGGGACATGGATGAAATTGGAAATCATCATTCTCAGTAAACTATTGCAAAGACAAAAAATCAAACACCGCATGTTCTCACTCATAGGTGGGAACTGAACAATGAGAACATATGGACACAGGAAGGGGAACATCACACTCTGGGGACTGTTGTGGGGTGGGGGGAGGGGGGAGGGATAGCATGAGGAGATATACCTAATGCTAACTGACGAGTTAATGGGTGCAGCACACCAGCATGGCACATGTATACATAGGTAACTAACCTGCACATTGTGCACATGTACCCTAAAACTTAAAGTATAATAATAATAATAAAATAAAATAAAATAAAATAATAAAAGTAAAAAAAAAATGCCAGTGTCTCAGCTTTTCTAAAGAGAACTGGCTAAAAGATTTCCATTCAGACTTAGGCAGGGGAGGCAGGTATGGTGCTGGTGAGAGGGAGAGCTGAAGACCTAAGGCAGGAAAAAGGGTGATAGTGAGTGTCAATCATGGGGACACCCCTAATACTACTTTTGCCTATTCAAATTTAGGCGACTTTGCATTTCAATTTTCAGAAGGAAAGCTGCTATTGTACTGCATCCTTCATCTTCTGAGGGCTCTGCTTGGACAAGTTCAAATCCAGTCATTTCATTTGGCAGAGATGGGACTTCATCTAAGCTGTCTCTGCTTCTGTGTAACCACAGGGAGCTCAAATCTTTATTACTTCCGGCTCCAACTTTCTTTGCCAATCCCCTCTCTCAATTCAAAGGCAATCAGTACAAAAGGCTATTTTCTGTTCCTTCTTTTAGCCTATAACAGAACCATGGTGCTGGAAAAGACCAAATCTGCATAATATTACATATGTGATTTAGTTCTTCCAAAGAAAGTTTGGAGTGAGCAGCTTGGAGTCTATTGCTAGTTGTATTGCAACAAGGGTTTCTTTCAGAGGACTGCTAAAACGTACATGCTAATTGAAATCTGGAGGATGGGGACTGGGCGTCAGTCAACAGATGCAGTCTGGCTTTGGGGAGGCATTTGTCACAAATAACACTGCTGGAAACAAAGCTTACATACTGATCCTAGAACAAGCTGAGCAAGGAGAAGCTCCCTGTCTCCACGGATACACCAAGGGCTGCTTTCCGCCATAAAGCACTTGGGCTCCTGTTGCTGCAGGATAAAGCAGATCAGATGCTAATGCTTCTTGTCTGTGTAGGATGAGTCTGACCCTGTTGCCATGGAAGGAGGACGGCTTTCAGCTCGGAGAAATCCCGCTTTATCTTCTTGGCTACAGAGTGTCATTAAATGAGTGCCCTCGTTGAAGGTACAAAGGAGGAAGAGTGAGAAGAGAGGGTAGAAGGAGAGAAAAACTGATGAATAAAAACTGTGCTTTCAGACTCAGTACATGGCACCTGCATATGGTCAGCTATGGTTTTAAAAGTAGGTAGAAAGGTAGCTGCCCCCGGGATAAGTTCCTCACAAGGGAAAGCGTAAGGTGTCTTACTAAACTTTATATCCCCAGACTATGAGAGTGAGAGTCAAAAGACCCTCAAACATATATTTGAAATGAATTTGAAGTAAACTGTTTAATGTTTGTTGAGGGACTGCGGGGATTACTCAAGTCAGTTACCTTTAAAATCAATGTGCTCAAAATGTGTGCCTTTGACTGAGCATCTCCATCATAATCACCTGGATCCCAACTCAGCTCTACTAATCATAATTTCTGGATAAGCAACCCTCCAACACCCAACCCACCTCAGCCCCACCTAATCCCACAGGCCCAGGTGAATAATAAACATGCTAATATTTGAGAGATG
This sequence comes from Homo sapiens, assembly GCF_000001405.40. NCBI lineage: Eukaryota > Metazoa > Chordata > Mammalia > Primates > Hominidae > Homo > Homo sapiens. The sequence goes on from NC_000010.11 coordinate 106,281,961, forward strand.
CATTACCTAGAATTTCCAGAATGGATTTATCACAGAAAAATCAATTTGGACTACCTTTCATCTGAAGCTTCCCTGTCATACCGTGCATTTACTCCCAGTTTGTTGTCATCTGGTATTGTTTTCATAATTTCTGTATTTTAAAATTGCTTGTTTGCCAAAAAAAACACCTCAAAATGGACAAAGGACAGCAATAGGCACTTCTCAAAAGAAGACACATATGCATCTAACAAATATATGAAACAATGCCCAACATCACTAATCACTAGAGAAAGGCAAGTCAAAACCACAATGAGATACTATCTCACACTAGTCAGAATGGTTATTACTAAAAAGCTGAAAAACAACAGATGTAGGCGAGGTTGTGGAGAAAAGGAAGGCTTACACACTGTTGGTGTGAATGTAAAGCAGTTCAGTCACTGTGGAAAGCAGTTTGGAGATTTCTCAAAGAATTTAAAACAGAATTGCCATTTGACCCAGCAATACCTTTACTAAGAATATGCTTAAAGGAAAATAAATTGTTCTACCAAAAAGACACAAATAAATTGTTCTACCAAAAGACACTTCTATGTGCATCACAGTACTATTCACAATAGCAAAGACACAGAATCAACCTAGATACCCATTAACATTGGACTGCATAAAGAAAATGTGGTGCATATACATCATGGAATCCTATGTAACCGTACAAAAAGCATGAAATAATGTCTTTTGCAGCAACATGGATGCAGCTGGAAGCCATTATCCTAAACAAATTAAAGCAGGAATAGAAAACCAAATACCACATATTTTCACTTACAAATGGGATCTTAACAGTGAGTACACATGGACATAAAGATGAAAACAACAGACACTGGGGACTAATAGAGGGGTGTATTAGTCCTTTTTCATGTTGCTGATAAAGACATAACCAAGACTGGATAATATACAAAAGAAAGAGTTTTATTTTTCTTACAGTTCCACATGGCTGGGGAAGCCTCCCAATCATGGTGGAAGGCAAGGAAGAGCAAGTCACATCTTACATGGATGGCAGCAGGCAAAAAGAGAGCTTGTACAGAGAAAACCCCATTTTTAAAACCATTAGATCTCGTGAGACCCATTCACTATCATGAGAACAGCAGGGGAAAGAACACCCCCATGATTCAATCATCTCCCACTGGGTCCCTCCCACAACACGTGGGAATTATGGGAGCTACAAGATGAGATTTGGGTAGGGAGACAGAGCCAAACCATCTCAAGGGGGAAGATGGGAGGGAGAGAAGTGTTGGAAAGCTAACTATCTGGTATTATGCCCACTACCTGGTTGACGGCATCATTTGTACAACAATTATAAGCAATCTTATGCAACAATTTGTGTGCAATTTACTCATGTAACAAACCTGCACATGTACCCTCTGAAACTAAAAGTCAAATTTTATATATTATTTGACTTTTAGTATTTTATATCTATATATACACATTTGACTTTTAGTTTCAGAGGGTATAATATTTATAACAATATAAATACTTATAACTATATTGCTTTATATATATAAATAAATAAATAATTTCTTGTTTGGATATGAGTATTCTTTCCTGAACTGCTTTCTACCCTGTTATTACAGTTGTGTTCTCCAGCTCTAAGACTAGTCTGTGAATTTCAGTTGTGTCCTTTTGGTGCCCAAGCCACACTGAGAGCTCTCAATAGGACTCTCTTTACAGCCTGCCCTGACTTATTACTACTATTCCTCTAAGTCTTAAAAGATTTTTTAGTATTAAAGAGTAACTCCACTCTCATTAGAAAGACATCCTCATTACTGATGAGCAGTTTAGCATTATGAATTAAGCAAGATTTGTAACCATACTTACCCAGTGAATAAATAACGATATAGACTAAAAGAGAATGATAAATATTAATCATGGGATTATTCAACATATAATGGTAAAATTTGGAAGCAATGCAAATGTCTGTGAAATAAGCTTTACATGCTACATGAGGAAAGCTATTAATAATATTCAAATGTCCTGGCCATGTAATATGAATAAAATATTTAAAACAGTATTAAATCAGATCATTCAGTTAGATCTCAATGGATTTTGTCCCTAAAGACTACCCATGCCATTCAAAATTTAGAGTAACCAGAAAAAAAAGAAAGAAAAGAAATGGAAGAAAATAAAATTGAGAGTTGAACTGGGGAACAAGAGAGAGAAGGAATAAAGGAAGAAATAAAATTATTAAAAAGATAAAATAGGAAGAACATAATTACAAAGAGTGCACTAAGAGAGCTGAAACCAAGCCTCAGCCAGCTGTCTCCATAGTGTTCTCACCAGGTTTAATTTATCCGGGACTCATTGTAGTCACTGGCACAATTGCTGGCCAAGATAAGGGCTCTAAAATTGTGTGAATGTTGCCAAAGGCAGTGGAGTTTTGGAAAAGGAACCTCCCCAAATAAGGAAGAATGTAAGGAAAAAAAGCACTGTTTTGGTTCTTGCCAGATGAAAGCTACCTTTTCCCTGGCTAGACACCCTAGTATGATCTTACGTATGGGGGAAGCATTAGGTAAATAACAGTAGACAATTCAAGTGTAATGATAATGAATTTTAGGCCACAAACTGAGAGACACAATGAATCAAAATTCTTTAATTTTTTATTTTGCAACTAAATTTCTATTTTAAGCCCCTTCTCTGCAAAGGTATTGGAATATTTGATCTATTTCAGTTTATCTGCACTTCACAGCTTTTTCTCCCTATGCTGACTCTGAGTATCAAGGTATGAGAGCTCATCATGCTGTTAGTTCAGCTTTTCATTGTTCAGTCACTCTTTGTGCCCATCCACAAAGCCCCATTCTATTAACCACATCTTTCTATTAACTTTGTGTCATTTATGGCTACAAAGGTGTCTTCCTGATACTGCTGTGCCTTGCAGAGCCACTGGAAATATCAAATATCTGCAAGACTGCCTAAGGCCTCATTTTTCTAGACACATCACACAGCCACTTCCTCTTTATGGAGACTTACTACCTTTCCACAAATTCTTTTCTTCCCTGTATCCATGCATATGCAATGTGACTGACTTAGCTTTTCAATCCCTTGAATATGGTCTTGTAACTTGTTTTAGCCAATGCACATGTGCCAACCATGGTATAAGCAGAAACTTGAAACGTGCCAGCATACTTTTCCTGTACTGGATTGGAAACTTGAGACCATCCTGGAAAAGTGAATAAGCCTGAGCTAGCCTTTGGTCACCTTAACTCTTTACTCTAAACCAGGGGCTGGTGGGATTCTAGTCCCCTCACTAGACTGCATAAGGTGGACGGGGTTTTTTAGTTTTTACATTGTAAATTGTGCAGCATAGTTGTGTATTGAGTCACAAGGGTGCAGTACACATGGAAAAAGTGATGATGTTAGAGAAACCAAAAGTAATAGTAGGAAGTCCTAGAGAAAACAAGCAGCAATGGGGCTTAGAGCCTGAGTGTAATATCCAGTTAGTAACAGGGACAGGGATGTCACAATAGCAGTGAGAAAGAATGCTGAGAATGTGAGTCCAGTTGCATGCAAGTTGGTAGATTCGATGGTGGAAGAGAATTTTTCTTACTTCCGTGAGTTTTTCACTGAGAGTAAAGGTGGTCTGGAGAGAATGTGGAATTTGAAAGAAGAACTAAAGTGAGTTCACTAGACAAATGTAGAAGGGTGTCTGGGCACTTCTGAGTGGTCCTGGGTACTCATTTAAAATTTGCTGTTACAAATTAAAATGGAGTCCTAGTGGTAAGGCTGTGTGATTCCTCCAGACACTGGGAGCAGAGAGAGACAAGTAGGGAGGAAGTTAGGTTTGGGTAGTGCTGGAGTTTTGTGAGATTGTCAGCGGGTGTCAGGGGAAGGTGGAAAGACTTGAAAGTACATTAAACAACTTACTGCAATGATGGACCATGAACCCTAAGCTGGTTGAGGGAAAATGAGTACATGAGCCAGGAGAAAGTGGAAAACTTGTAGTCTAAGTGGGTTGGAAGTTCAAATGGAGTTAAATTTTTGTCATGGATGGAATGGAGTAAATGAGCATAAAATATAGAAAATGGTGATCACAGAGATTTGAAATTTAGGCTTTGGAAAGATGGTATAAATAGTACTGATAACAATGACTAAGCAATTAAGAGAGAATTGGGTAAAGTGGTAAAAATATGAGAGCCATTTACAACGAATTATCCCCATGACTGTTACTGTCCCCAAGAAAGATTGCAAGTTCAGCATTAAAAAAAAGTGACTACAGTGCTAAAATTGGAAGATTAGTAAACAATAACAATGAGAAGGGTAATATGGTTTGGCTGTGTCCCCACCCAATCTCATCTTGAATTGTAGCTCCCGTAATTCCCACATGTCATGGGAGGGACCTGGTGGGAGGTAATTAAATCACAGGAAGGGGTCTTTCCCATGCTACTCTCATGATAGTGAATAAGTGTCACAAGATCTTCTAAAGGGAGTTCCCCTACACCAGCTCTCTTGCCTGCTGCCATGTAAGACGTAACTTTGCTCATTTGCCTTCAGCCATGATTGTGAGGCCTCCCCAGCCATGTGGAACTGTGAGTTGATTAAACCTCTTTCCTTTATAAATTACCCAGTCTTCGGTATGTTTTTATTAGCAGCATGAGAACAGACTAATACAAAGGGATAGAAAGTGGCCATGTATGACATCAAACAGCAGGGGTTTTTGAGGGAGAAAAGAAACAACAGCCAGAATTACGAAACAGTCTTATTTCTGGGACTTGTGTTGTAAGGATTATGAGGATCAAAAAATACTGATGACTTCACAAAGCCTCAAGGGAAGCAGTGAATTCAGTAGAGATGCAGTGTTCTATTCATGGCAAGGAGAAGAAATAATAACTGAAAAGGTTAAAGAGACAGAATTTTTGTGATGCTAGAAGATTTTGAGGATTTTGAGAGTTTTGGGGGACTAATGAACAGTATAAATCCAATTACAGGATTCACACATTCACATTGGGGTAAAATCCATCTAGGTGTAGAAACAAGGAATTTTAGACTTGCGATGGTGAAGGACATAAGCAAGGACATAGGGAATGATTGGTTCTTTCCAAACTATTTAACACGGAAAGATAAATTATAAAAAATATACTCTTTTTGAGTTTAGTTGAAGTGGTGAATCACAGTCCTTATGATACTGTTCGTTTATCAAGAAGAAGAGCTAGATAAACACATTGTTTCTTACTACATCCTATTTTATAGCCAAGAAGAACTAGAATAAAGTCTAGTTAGTGCTAAAGAAAAGAAAAAACAAAGGGATCATATTCAAAAATGACCTTACAAGAAAACTTACATGAGGGGAAAGGAACTAGACTTTAGAACTAGACTTTAGTTCGAAACGAACTAGACTTTAGACTTTAGTTCTAAAGTCTCCTCAGGTTCTTCTTGGCTATTAAATAGCATGTAGTGTAAATTCAGAATGTATTTATTGTTAATAGAGCTCCAAATGCTAGCCCTTCAGAAATGAGTATGTGGCCATTGTATTTACAAAACTGTCTTAGATTTTGTCAGAGCTCTCGGAGTCTTGATGACTGAGATCAGTGGTTTCTTAATTGGAAATGACTGAGCTTTACTCTTCCCCACTTGGGATGAGTCTAGTTTCTTGCATTAAGGTAATGCAAAAGGAACCAACCTGGCAATAGCAGGGTGTTTCAGCAAAATGCCTCTGATGTACTTAGTGCAGTCTATGAAATTTAAAAAGGACCTTTAGGGATGTAGAGACTTTACATCTCTTTACCCTCCTACTTAGTACATTCATTTTCAAATGCCAATGTTAACACTTTTCCACCTGAACTTGCTAAAATTGTGCAGAATGATTATAACCTTATCAATAAAGTCAGAATTTTAAAAATGGACTGCAAGATTTAATTTTCAGATCCCATGAGTTTCTATTGATTTGGGAGTACACAGCCAGGAGTAGTGAGAAAGTAATCTGCAATTTGTATCAAGGATGCCTATTTCAAATGCCTTTGTGTTCCAAAGTTGTTACACTGCAGAAAAATAGGTAACACTGCTGATGAGAAAAACTCATGAAAATCTTCCTAGATAATATATTTTCCTAAATTCAGTTTTAAATGTGAGAATAAGAGATTCTAAATATGTGAACTTACATACTTTAAAAAAACAAATATAAGTAAAGCTGTAAAAAAAGGATCATATTCAAAATGGCCTTACAAGGAAACTTACACGAGGGGAAAGGTTTTTATTGTAATTTTGTCTTAGAATATGTCTTTTGGACTTTAAAATGCCTAATTATGACAACAAAGTGAGAACTAAAAAAAGGAACTATATGAAAAAAGAAATTTGCCTACAGTTATGTCATTGAACATTTCCACGTGTGCCTAATTTTTCACGTTCAACTAGAATAAAAGTATATGAGTAAACTTAGAGAATTTAAAAAGTATTATACAAATATTTCTTCAAAGATGGCATTTATTTGGTTTCCTCTACAATGTCTAATTTAGGTGTCTTTACTTCTAGATCAAAGGCAAAATGAAATGAGTGGAAGCACCGTGAATAGTGATGCTTTCTTACTCACCAGACTAACACAACTAGAGGAATACATAGGCAGCAAAATTATGGTCTATGCCAATAGAGAACTTATCCTGAACTTGCAGACAGAACATTTATTAAATGGTACATATAGAAATCTAAACGTTCCTCAGAGTTCCTACAGTTCAACATTGGCCAAGGAAAATTGGAGAAGGCCATGGGCTAGAAGGGAGGTTGCCTTAAATGAGTGAAGAGACGTGATCTAGAGAGGAGATGATTTTGAGCTCACAAACATGGACAAAGCAGATTTAGTCAAATACAAACTGCAATACACAAGGATGTATCATTATTTTTGCTCAAAGAAAAAGTTTGCCTCAAATTATACATTGTAATATGCATAGATTTGACAAAATATAAACATTTTCTCATTGATTATGTTATGTAGGAAATGCATTTTATTATTTCAGTTTCCAGATCACATAAGGACAATCAAAATTTCTCTGCAATCTCTTTTTTAAAAAGCAATAATATCTGTGTTTTATTTTATACTCTTGATTTATTGAATCCTTTGATTTCCAGAATGCAAAAACACAAACATCTAATATCAATTTTGTATATAGTTCTGGGTAACTACGGATTTACTAAATCACTCCTGGACTTACATACCAGGTTAAAAATTTCTATATTGCTACTCTGTAATGCATATTTTCTACAAAAAAATAAAATAAAATAATTCACAGTGAAATGGACAGATTCATCTCCCTGGGAATTAACATGTTTGTTTTTGTGAAGAGAGATCTACATTAATTAATATATTGTCTTTCCTTCCAGTAGCTTTCAATTTTTTATGGAGAATATAAGACATAAACTGACAGAATAATATGTATAAACTTGCGTATGTCCATCACCTAGCTTCGACAATGAACTCATGGTGAACCACATTAAATCTATGACCATTCACTGTTTTTCTCTATTATTTCGAAAAAAATTATATACCATGTAATTTTCTTCATAAGTATTTCAGTATGCATCTCTAAAAGACAAGGGCTTTGTTAGACATAAAAACAACACCATTATCACACCAAAAATAATTTAAAAATCATTTTCAATGTAATCAAATTTGCAGCTAGTATTCAAATTTCCATTGTCTTACAGAGTTCTTGCTTATTTTTAACATTTACTTGAATTAGGATTTAAATAATGCCCTGACATTGGGATTGCTCGATATATCTTTTAAGTCTCTTTTAATCTATATAATCTTTCTGTTTTTCGCTCTGTCCCTCTCTTGCAATTTATTAGTCAAATAAGCAGGGTAATTTGGTTTGTGGACTACTACAAAATGAGTATTTTGTTGATTGCATCTCCATAGTAGAATTTAACATGCTCCTCTGTCCTCTGTACTTCCTATAAATTGGAAATTAGATATAGAAGCTTGATCTGATTCAGGTTAGATTTTCTTTTTTCAATACTATTTTATAAATGATGTGTTTTTTTCATTAGGAAGCAAAAAATATCTAGCTATCTCTCTTTTTATGACATAGTCAGTCTTTGTTGCGGAATGTCTACACTCATTTCTTCAGTGGAGATTGAAAATGATTTAACTTAACCCCCCTTCCTCACCAAAGTCCCAGTAAACTTCCCAGGGCAGACAGACAGAAAAAAAAATCTCCTAAAGTGCATAATTCTTTAATACCAGACCTCCCCACCCCACCAAAAAAAAAAAAAAAAAAAAAAAAAACTTCTTGAATTCTACACCTATTGGTCCATTATGGCTCCAGGAATGTAAAAAACCTAATGCCATGAATCACTGTATGGGGAACAGATTAGGGATAATTTCAAGTTCACTGTATTTGAAGTATATGCAGGATAATTAATCAGGTGTTTGTTTCAATAGCTTCTTGATTCTTTAATTTTTGCTAACATTCACTAAAATCCCATCAGTGCTGGAGACTCGTCAGACATTTGCATATCCCAGGCAAGTGCGAATGAATGCTTTTCAGTAGCCAGTTAAGTTGCTGCTTCTACTGTTTTTCCAAGCAAGTTGACTGATCACAGGATCCTCTGGGATCAGAGTCATGCTGGTTCTGCTGCTGATATTCCCTATGACCTTATCTTTGGTTTTTGGTTTTGTGTGGAATGAGAGGTCCCAAAGAGTAGATGCTCATTAAATGTTAATCTCCAAATTAAGACCTTTCTTTTTTTTTGAGACAGAGTCTTACTCTGTCACCCAGGCTGGAGCGCAATGGCGCAATCTCAGCTCACTGCAACCTCTGCATCCCGGATTCAAACGATTCTCCTGCCTCAGCCTCCTGAGTAGCTGGGACTACAGACACGTGCCACCACACCTGGCTAATATTTATTTATTTATTTATTTATTTATTTATTTATTTATTTATTTATTTTTTGAGAGGGAGTCTCGCTCTGTCGCCCAGGCTGGAGAGCAGTGGGGCGATCTCAGCTCACTGCAAGCTCCGCCTCCCGGGTTCACGCCATTCTCTTGCCTCAGCCTCCCGAGTATCTGGGACCACAGGCGCCCGCCACCATGCCCGGCTAATTTTTTGTATTATTAGTAGAGACGAGGTTTCACCACATTAGTCAGGATGGTCTTGATCTCCTGACCCGCCCCCCTCGGCCTCCCAAAGTGCTGAGATTACAGGCGTGAGCCACCGCGCCCGGCCTAATTTTTGTATTTTTAGTAGAGATGGGGTTTCACCGTGTTAGCCAGGATGGTCTGGATCTCCTGACCTCCTGATCCACCTGCCTTGGCCTCCCAAAATGCTGGGATTACAGGCATGAGCCACCGCACCCTGCCTGAGACCTTTCTTAATTCAGACATTTCCACTTCTGAGATTCCCTTAATGGAACACAGAAAAGTACATTAGGGAGGAGCCAATGTTAACGGGCTCGTTTACAACCACAGTACACAATCTGCTTTGCACAATACCTACTACATGGTAGTAAATCATTACTCATTTAGGAAACGAATGAAAATTTTAGCCTGTCTGCCCCTTTTAAAATATACTTTCTAGCAAAATAGATCATCCATGGGATTTTTGTTTCCCAAAACCCATGGGAATTTGTAGTAATTACACACAAAAAAATTCTCCTTCCGTAATCTCTTCTCCCACAGTTACCGAATGACTGGGACACATTAAACAATATGCAGTTCCCAAAGATTATCTGATGTTCTTAAATATCTATACCTTTGCAAATTCTGTCATCCTTCAAAAACTTCTCCTAACCTACCTTTTTTCCTGCTCACCTAATTTTTAAGACATGCAGCTAAACAAGCATTTATTAAATGGGCACAGGCACATTGAGACACAGATGAGAACAGGTTGGACCCCTCAAAAAATCTGCAGCTAAGTCAGGGAAACAGACATGTAGACAAAACATGTAATGTGTTGTGATGCACGCCAATGTAGAGATTGTTCAGTGGTGAAATTAAGGGGGCAAATTTCAGCTTGTGAGGCTCAGGAAAGATGTTTTTGAAAGAAAAGAAAAGAGAAAATAAAAAGAAAAGAAAAAAAGAAAAGAAGGAAAGAAGGAGAAGGAAGGAGAAGAGAGGGAAGGAAGGGAAGGAAGGGAAGGAAGGAGAAAGAGAGAGAAAGGAAAGAAAGAAAGAGAGAAAGAAAGAAAAAGGAAGGAAGGAAGGAAGAAAGACAGACAGGAAGGAAGGAAGGAAGAAAAAGAAAGAAAGAAAAAGAAAGAAAGAAAGAAAGAAAGAAAGAAAGAAAGAAAGAAAGAAAGAAAGAAAGAAAGAAAGAAAGAAAAATGAACTAGGTGTCCACTAGGCAGATCAATGTTGGAGGAAGAGAATTATAGTCACAGGGAACAGCATGTGTCAAGGCACAGAGGCTTGAAACAGCATGGCACAATTGCTATGACTGAAGAACTAAGAGGCATTTTTTTTAATGTATTTTTAATGAATATCCACAGATGGGCAGAGGCAAGGACAGGGGATACCTTACATAATGTACTAAAGAGTTTGGAATTTATCCTACAGATAAGGGACTAATGATATTTTTTTAAATATTAGGTATGACACTGCTAGATTTGGGTTTTAGAATGATCATTTGGTGACAATACAGATAATATACTGGAAGTAAATTAAATAGGAGTTTTTGAAATTAGTTGGAAAACTATATGGGAGTAACTAGTTTAAAGTAACTTCATTTAAAAAGGCTTTTTCTCATCTCCTGGCATAGGTTGAGTAAGGTAGTCATATAATTTATAATTGCAACCAGGATTCTTTCCAGGGTGAAATCGGGTACCAACAATAATTACTCAAGAACATTTGAAGTAAACCAGAATTCTCCCAGGTAAAGTGGGATATACAGTGATCTTAAACTTAGGGTCCCTTGAATGTTCCAATGGCCCATTTGTTGAATGTTCATATTACTATGTTTTGCAGTTGTTGTTTTCTTGCCTATTTCTCCAAATAAACTGTATGATTTCTGAAGACAGAGCTGTCTCTCACTTTATTTCTAGTCCCTAAGGTTGTACCAGCTAATGGGAGGCTCCCAATAAATGTGTCTTAATTGAGTTTGACAGTGAATGAATTGAAATCCGATTCAAATTCAAATCAGGATAGTTGGTATTGGATTGCATCCCACTAAAAGAGAATTTTTAATGTTAGGATATTTGCATTCTTGCCCTTGGTTACAGTATATCTCTTCACTAAATGGCCTCAACTTCTCCAAGACCTCGGTTTCCCATCTTTAAAATGAAAGTAGATATTGCTGACTTTCCATATAATACAGAACATCAGATAGGAAAAGAATGTTGTATAGATAAGAGGGTTAATGAATTTTTTCCATCCACTATGTTCCTACAACTTTGTTTCAGTTTTATTCTCCATAGCCATTTGTACAAACGTAGCGATGCCTTCTGAATATTAAAAATCAAAAAAGCCTTGGGGAAAGTTTTTTTTTCTGAATTTTGTCCTCCAGCTCCCTACCAATTTTTTATTTTGCTAACATGGCCAGAATGCCTTACATTTTCTTACAACTTTGAAAAACATTAATTCTAAAAACTCCAGGAGCTAAGCTTTTTATTTCATTGACACATATTCAACCAAAACTACAAATTAATAGCATCATTACTGCTATGTCTCTGGCAGAACCAGAGTTCCGCATAGTGTTTCGCTTCACAGATAAAGCATTTGACTTGCAAGAAGACTACACATGCTGATCCCTGCCCTGCTGTGTTCTCAGACTTTGAGAAACAAAGGTCCCTTTTCAAGCCCACGAGTTATTTCTGCTTTTGGAGAATGTTTTTGTAATACTATTTTGGTGCTGGGTTTCATAATATCCTAAGGTAGCTTAAATTTGATGGGCCTGATGAGGTTAGTTCTAATGTTAAAGCTATTCCAAATAGACAGGAGGAAAAAAGTGTGTATTCACTTTAAGCACAACATCTATATAGAGAATAGAGGTACCATTTTAAATATCCCTGATATGGTTTGGCTATATGTCCCCACCCAAATCTCATGTCAAATTACAACCCTCAATGATGGAGGAGGGGTCTGGTAGGAGGTGATTGGGTCATGGAGGCGGACTTCCCTTTTGCTCTTCTTGTGATAGCGAGTTCTCATGAAATCTGGTTTAAAAGTGTGTAGCACTTCCCCCTTAATTCTCTTTTTCCTGCTCCCACCATGTAAGATGTGCCTCCTTTCTGTTCATCTTCCACCATGATTGTAAGTTTCCTGAGACCTCCCCAGCCATACTTCCTGCACAGCCTGCAGAACTGTGAGTCAATCAAACCTCTCTTCTTTATAACTTACCCAGTCTCAGGCAGTTCTTTACAGCAATGGGACAACGGACTAATACAATCCCCATTTGATATTTTAGCATGACCTAACATCATATGAGCCAATAGTTTTTCCCACCATACTTTCCAACCTTTGGTTTCGATCTGTTAAAAGATAAACTGTGGCACATGAAAAATTTAAAGAGTTTATTTGGGCATTTGGTGATTCATGAATTGGTTCACACCAATTCAAATGCAAGTGGTTCAGCATTCCTCTGGGAATGAGGGGCAGAGAGGGCAAGAAAGTAAACTTGTATAAAGTGTTTGCAGAAGCAAAACAAAATACTTGATTTGTTAAAGTGGAATATCCTAAGTTAGAGGTTAGTCGAAGTCTCTGATTAGTTAAGCTTAAGTTTCATTTTGTTTTACTGTTTATATTGAGCTTCAGTTTGCTTACGTAGGAACCCAAAATGCCTAATGACCTTCCAATTAAATTTTTTTTTTTTTTTTGAGACTGAGTCTTGCTCAGTCACCTAGACTGGAGTGCAGTGGCACGATCTCGGCTCACTGCAAGCTCTGCCTCCCGGGTTCACACCATTCTCCTGCCTCAGCCTCTGGAGTAGCTGGGACTACAGGTGCCCACCACCACACCCAGCTAATTTTATTTTTTGCATTTTTAGTAGACAGGGTTTCACCGTGTTAGCCAGGATGGTTTTGATCTCCCAACCTCACGATCCACCCGCCTTGGCCTCCCAAAGTACTGGGATTACAGGCGTGAGCCACCATACCCGGCCCCAGTTAAATTTTTTAACAGATCCTTTGCTTATCTTTGGTGATTAAATTTATTTAGATAGCCATAACTTCATGGTATATGAGTCAACAAATATTGATTACACAGAAATCCTGGAAATTAAAGCAATAAAATATATCTTATATGGTGTTGATTTATTTTGGTTTTTTGTTTCCAATAATAGCTTTTCTGTTTTGTTAGATTTTGGCATCTCTTCATACTTACGAACTAACCACTTTTCTTTCTTATTTGGCCAGCTGAAAATGATGCCATAAGAATCTTCTATCTATCTATCTTCCTTACAGTGTTTAATCCTGTGTGGTGATAATAATCATCAAACACTCTTGAAACTGGCAAAGAAAGGACTGGTCAGCAATAGTACAGCAAATTATTATTTACTAAAAAGGAGGTTGGGTTGGAGATCTCATCCAACCTTAAAATACATCAAAATTGTTCTAACGTTATTGCCAACTAGGTAGCCAGTTCTAAGCATCTAAGGACTTTGCTTGCCTGCAGATCTATTACTTATTAAGGACAAAAGGTTTTGGCTCAAAAAATCCTTATAAACTTCAAAGACAAGATTCATCGCTTCCTTATTTTTGTGGCACTTAAAAAGAGGATTAAGTCCTCAAACCTGTCCCCTCTCACAGAACTAAGGATGTGTAAAAGTATAAAAATCCTATCTTACATTTCACAGCAGGAACAGGGACAGGAGAAAAGAAAGGAGGAATTTTAAAGGCATCCTTTTAAAAGTATATTTGTATTCACCTGCTCAGATATTCCCTGCCCAGTGCGGTAATTTTTTCACATTATCTTATAGGCATGGATACAGAGGAGAGTGGTAGATAACAGTCTTCATGACCTTATGCTTTTCCCCACTAACCAGCAATTGCTAAACACTTATACTGAGGAAAGATTTGCACTGCCTAGGAAAAAAATCCCATGAAATTAAATATTCAGTCCCTGACCTCATAAAGCTTATGATCATTTGGGCAATATACATGTACACACTTCAGATGTTTTTTAAAACTTGTGTTAAAGGTCATCATTCTTAATCAGGTTGTCTTCTGTTTAAATTATCTGCATTAAATTGATGTATAAGTGCTGAAAATCAGTACTTTTCAGCCAGTAGAGTCACTAAGACAAAGAAGAATATTGAGATCCATAAAGTCTTGATTCTAGCTTCCTTTGCTCTGTCCCAGAAAAGCTGTGAAACCTCGGGCCAAGTCAATTCTCTTCCACGGCCTCAGACTGTTATCTAGAGGAGCATGGGTTGCATTTTTGCTTTCTTTGAATTCTAAAAGTTTATGGTACTAGAGGAAAGAATTCATGGTATCAGAGAACAATGAGTATTTTCAGTCAATGTCCAGGCTACCACTATGCATTAAGGTCTTTGTAGGCCACTGATGAGCTCCTTCCCCAAAAGTAGGAGTGGTTATGAGAGGTTAACTATTCCTTCACAGTTTGGATGTACATTAGGATTTTCTTGCATTCCACAATATTTCTAGGTGCTTACATTTCAGTTGGTATTAATGAGTACAATTCCTGACCTCAAAATAACTGGACAAATATTTCAGAACTTAGTCCACATTATTTCCTCAGGGGAAGCAAAGACAGGTGTCCCACGGGAGAGCTGACCTTGAAATTCATCTCTGCTTAGACAACATTTCAATATTTTAAATAGATCCAAAATGCAAGCAGAAGGGGTATTTTCATCTTCCTTTACCATGTGTAAAACCACACACCTCTTTAAAAATAAAAACTACTTTGGAATCCTGTTTGATGGCTGTGGATGCTGATTAGCTCTCTGTGGAATAAATTTTGCTTCAAGTATATGAAAAAAGTGCTTATAGTCACTAATGAGAACTCCCATATAAGAATGATAAAGATCCCTGTTACATTCTGTCCAGTGGCTGCCAAAAGCCCAGGCTGTGTCCTCTGAAGTCAGAGTTTGATATTCCAGACTGAAGCCTGTAGTAATTTAGACAAAGTGTTGGAAATGATCTCAGCCATTCTAATACAAATGAGTTTAATTGAAGCATTTGGTTATGGGGTGAACGCAAATCAAATATTGTGAGATGTTTCAATTATAGTTATTGGTTCTCTTGAAAGAAAGGTTTCACATGCAATAATTTCATCCTGTGCTCCATTTGCTTCTCTGCGCTCTTAGGAATGCTGATTCAGTGTCAAGTTTCCTTACTATCACAAGGGCTAATTAAGGCTTACTTAATGGTGGTGCAGACAACATGCACTATTTTAGTGCAGTAAGTGATTAACTGAGTTATACACGGGGTCAAAGGCCTAAGCTTTTATCTCTGGTGGTGGTCCTCAACCTGGGAAGCACAAGCACAAGACAGTTCACTGGCATAAAGGAAGAAAATATTAGAACTAACATATTTGTATTTATGTTTACTTTTTTAAAAATGTAAGCTTTACTCATATATATGTTGCTTCTGTGGTTATTGTTGTGGTTACTGTTGTTTTGGTTATTTATCATAGTCAATAAAAGATGTTTTGATAGAAAAAGTGACTTTAAAACTCACAGTTTAATAACTGACACTTCAGTGATACAAGATGATTAGGTTCTAGAGATCTGTACAGCATCATGGTGAAGTTAACCATTCCGTATTGCACATAAAAATTCTTTGGGTAGATCTCCTGTTAAGTGTTCTTAACACAACAATAATTAAAAAGAATAAGTTAGGCAGTTTTATGGGAACATTAGTGAATATACTAGTGGATCATCACAAATAATAAACTAGTGACTCAAACATAAAAGAAACCCGTACATGCATTGGTTACACAAAAAAGAATTTTAAATTTCAAATGGTTTCTTATTCAAAACTGTTACCCACATATTTTTAGATAAATATATTGTACATTATGTGCTTACATGTAATTTTTAACAATTTGAATTTAATATGTGAAAACATTTTCAATAAAAGAAAGCCAAGGTAATCATTTCTCAGCCTTTTGGCTAAGATCAAGTGTAAAAGAAATTCAAGTATTTTTTTTAAAAAGAGAATTATTAACAATATCCTAAAATTATTTTCAACTTTCTACAATTTATATGTGTCCCATTTATGTGTCTAGTTAAGACAACTGACAGAAAATATACACTAGTTTTACTAACCTTCACAGAATGTCTACAAAGCTTAAAAAATTAATAGACAGGCACCATGGATTGAAGAAAATATTCTTAATACAAGCAAAAGTAGACAATAAGAAAATGATTAAACTTGTCATAGGTGAGTCCTTCAACAGCTATTGCATAGAAAAAGTATCAGTTAAGTTAGCATTTACAGAAATGATAGTTTAATAATGTCATTTAAAAAATAAAAATAATTGGCCTATAATCCCAGCATTTTGGGAGGCCCAGGCAGGTGGATGGCTTGTGGTTGGGAGTTCAAGACCAGCCTGGCCAACATGGTGAAACCCCATCTGTACTAAAAATACAAAAATTAGCACGTCTGTAATCCCAGCGACTTAGGAGGCTGAGGCAGGAGGATCACTTGAACCCACGAGGCAGAGGTTGCAGTGAGATGAGATCATGCCACTGCACTCCAGCCTGGGCAACGGAGCAAGACTCCATCTCAAAGTAAATAAATAAATACAAATAAAAATAATTATTGAAACTATAATAATGAATTTCTCTAAAAGTGTTCTGTTGAGAGAGCATTTTGAACATGGATTTTAGAAATATTTTTGTTTGATAATTCTGTTGCAAAAATTAATGTATGTCACTGAAAGAATTCCTCTCACCAGTGCATTCTTTCTTAAAAGGTAGAAAACTATCCAATCTACTTAAAAATATCCAAAATATATTTAATGGATTTCAGTCATTTGCTTAAAATAATTTGTATTAGTTTATTAATAATAGGAATTAATTACTAGGAATGATCAGAGAAAGTGAAAAATTACTAAACTAATTTTGAGAAAAACACATAATTGGTGATTGAGACTAAAAATTGAGAAGCATCTCTTTTAAACCTAAGTTCCAGGGGTCCAAGACCTACAACTGATTTTTTAATAGCTGTATTCTTAGGACCTAGGACCAGTCATGAATCCTAGCACGTACTATTAAATTAAGTTTAGACTAACTCTGCCTCTTTGCATATTTTAAGTTCAGCCTAAAAATAATTTCTCCATACATAAAACCACAACCTAACTGGATATATAAACAGACTATAAATTACTCTTGTGCCAATCACTGAGTTTCAACCAATCAAAGTCAGTTGACTAATCCCACTGTGCTCAAATAAGGCAAATGCCAAGGAATAGCCAATCTGGCTATTTCTGCACCTCACTTCCATTTTCTGTATGTCACTTATCTTTTTCCATCCCTAAATCTTTTTTCACTATTTGACTGTGCTGGAGTCTCTCTGAACCTATTCTGGTTTAGGGGCTGCCCGACTCACAAATCATTCTTTGCTCAATTAAACTCTGTTAAATATATTTTGTCTAAGATTTTTATTCTAACAATACTCAATAAATATTTGTGAAATGAATGACTATCCCTACACTGGCTCAATAAACTACAGGACACCCAGTTAAAGTTGAACTTCAGATAAACACCAAGTTGTTGTCGTTTATTTTTAGTGTATGCCCTATGCAATATTTGAGACATACTTACGTGTTAAAAACTATTATTTTTCTGAAATTTAGATTTTATTTTGTGTCCCATATTCTTATTTGCTGAATCCAACAATGCCACCTCAGAATTTTTTGAAGTTGTATGGGGTGTTTAAAATAATCTAATGTTACAATTCGACATGAGATGTGGGTGGGGACACAGAACCAAACCATATGAAAGGGTATCAAGTTAATTCCATTTGTATATAAAGTATGAAACTCCTAAACAGATATATTTGTCAAGTCAGCCTTGAAGCACCACCAATCCCTAAATCCCTAAGAATTTGTCACTCTGAAAAACAATACTCTTGTTTTCATTTTTGCTTAGTACCACTCTTAAAACAGCAATGTTACTACCACAAAAGAGGAAAAGAAATTAACTTTTAATTTCCATCTTGAAATGATATAAAAAAACTTGAAGCAGACCATGCTACTCTGAGCAATTGGATAAAATATCAAGCATATGTAAAAGCATCAAGTTCAGCTATACAGAAAAAATGCTTCATGTACACAGGAGATGAAATTGTGACTTCCTAGGCATAGCGCTTGGCACGCAGTTGGATACTCATAATTAAAGTTGGACCCTCAAAGGAAAGAGATTAATATTTTACATTAAGATATCCCAAAACCTAATACATTATGATACAACCAAAGGTTAAATTCTCAATGAACAACAGTGATCCCTAGGCTAGTAGGCTATCAGGTCATGCCCAGATTCTTTCAAAAGAAACCATTACCTCTTTTGTCCTTGGACCTTAAGTCTGAAAAAAAAAGTATTTCACCCTAGTCTCTATCATCCCATATACAAATTTTCTTTGATGTTCACTTCAAGTGCCATCGTCTTGTCCATGATACCTGAGCTGAAGCTAGAGCAGTGACCATCATTCTCATTCCTTTGCAATATATATGACCTTATGATAGTTCTTCTTCTGTTATTTAACCTTAAGTGCTTGTGTCTTCTCTCTTCAATTGTGCCATGGAGGATATAAGCTTTGTGCAATCCAACAGAGAACTTTTTGTCCAACAGAACTTTCTGTATTGAAGAAAAAAGTTTAAGTCTACATTGTCAAATAAAACAGTTGGTGGCCACAGGTGCTTGTGAAGCCATTTAGAAACTAAACTTTTATTTACTTAAACATTTTTTTTTTTTTTTGAGACAGAGTTTCACTCTGTCGCCCTGGCTGGGGTGCAGTGGCGCAATCTCGGCTCACTGCAAGCTCCGCCTCCCAGGTTCATGCCATTCTCCTGCCTCAGCCTCCCGAGTAGTTGGGACTACAGGTGTCTGCCACCACGCCCAGCTAATTTTTTGTTTTTTTATGTTTAGTAGAGACAGGGTTTCACCGTGTTGGCCAGGATGGTCTCAATCTCTTGACCTCGTGATCCACCCGCCTTGGCCTCCCAAAGTGCTGGGATTACAGGCATGAGCCACCGTGCCCAGCCTACTTAAACACTTTTAAAGTAAAAATTTTACTTTTACAATTTTTATTTTACTTTATTTAAAACAATTTAAGTCTAAATACACTCCTGGGCCTAATAGGTATCATATTGGTCAGCCCAGATCTAGAACATCTGACATAGCTTCCTGAATGTAGTATTTATTTTTCCTTATTTGTCTTCAAAGGCACAGAAAGACTCATTCAACTATTCTCCAAGTCTCAATGATGCTCTATTTTACAGTTGGATGCCACTTACTAGTGAATTCATTTGCTTAGTTGAAAGCTGGTTGGCTGCCAAGGCACTGATCACTTTAGAAACAAGAAGTCTTACTTTCTCAGGAATATTCTACCATTTTTAGCTCTAAATTTTTCACTGGATAGATGACTTACGGGGAAATGTTTAATTCTAGGTTCTCTTTTGACTCATAATCCTGACTTTCACCCTCATTTGTTGACCTTGCAAAAACATTTTAATATCTACCACTTCAGAAACATTTAATTAAAAATTAGAATATGGAACAGTTACATACACACACATTTATATACATAGTAAACTTTTTGAAGGCATGACTCAGTGCAGAATACCTGGACCTGTTACAGGATAATAATGATAGCTACATTGATATTCCCACACCAATTGACTGTTATCAAAACAAGTTCACATACCAGTGAAATTGGAGAAAGGTGAGAAAGTGCCACAAGCAAGACAGGGTAAAATGGCATTTAATATTCATCATTTTAATTTTCCAAACGGAGAAATCACACAGATGCAGATATTGGCATAGGAAAACTTTGAATGTACAAGCATGAATATTTTAACAGTAGTTTTATCTAGATGGTAACATTTCTACTGGTTCTTTTAACATGTTCATGAATTTTAAGTGAACTAAATTATAAAAATTGAATATATTTTTTGTACAATGAAAACATTCATAAAAATAATGAATGCATCTGTACATGTTCCAAAAGATTTGGATATTCTGATATTTTTCATTTCACTGATGCTCTGATTTCAAACATTAACACCTTAGACATATACCTCAATGAAGCTCAAATAGTTTCTGGTCATTTGTCCTGAAGAAAGCTTTTCTACTCCTGTGCCTTAGAATCCATCATTTCACCCAATATTGCCAACTGTTTGACCTTTTGCTGTTCCTCATCTCACATTTATGACCACTCCCCGCATTTCCAGGAAGCATAGAAAGAGGATAACAACCCAAAAGAAACTATCACAGTGAACTACAACAGGAAAAAATACAAGGAATTAGGGATTCTGAGTACTGGTAATAGCTATGGCATTAAAAAATACATTCGTCAGTTTATTCACTAGATTAACATTTACAGAGTGCATGGAAAGTATCCGACATATGCTAGGTATCCATGCTGTGATGGTAAGGGGAAAAGACAGTCTCCTGCTACATTGTTTGACCATGAGAAGTCATTTTACTTTTCTCAACTTTGGCTCTCTTTTCTGTTATTTGAAAGGGTTGGGAGGCTCTCAGCGGCCCTCTTTAGCTATACATCTGTGGATTTACAGCTTTTTCTCTCTGTTAACTTGGAAGGGGGAGAATTTTTCTGTACCCACCCTGAAGCAATCAAACAAAAAAGATTTTGGAGAAAAGAGAAGGGGAAGAAGAATGAACAACTGAGAGTTTTTCAGTACTGCTGTGTGCCCTGTGTGAGCTCACTACCATCTCTAGGAATTGCAGCAATGGTAATGATATTTTTCAGTTAATAACCTCATAAATATATTTACTATTTCTTGGAATCCTAGCTATTATTGGATCAATTTATTTTTATGTATCACATGCTATTTGGTGTCTGGCTAGGAAAATGGCCAATGATATCTAGGAATGGGACTACATATCACATACTGCTTTTGTGCAACTGTCCTTGTATTCCAAGATACAATGGCTTCAGTTACATACACACGTCTCTAAAACCCTGTGTCTTTTGTTCACCCACTTTCATATGATCTTCCACTTTTATTGCTCAGAACATCCATGTGATTGAAAGCATGGTTCTCACACAGGTCATTAAATGAGTTTCTCCCTGCTGATAACATCATTAACAGAGCCAGATTGCTTGTGTTGCAGTGTTAAGAGTTCATGGTTATAAATACATGTCTCAAGGGATCAAGTTAATGGTATGAGATATTAGGATGTTGAGCAAGGTAGGGAACGACGGGAAAGAGTCACACACGAAAAAATAAGTGAGATACTGCAGAGTCTGGTAATCTAGTCCCATTATAAAGGAACTATAATAAGTACACAATCATGAAATTTAAAAGAAAACGCAATGAGAAAGATCTTCCCATGACTCTTCATAGTTAAGTGTTATATAGTCTTTATGCAACATCGAAAGGATTAAGGAACCTGCCATCTTTAAGGAACGTGTTAAGTAGATCCTTGTGTGCAGATGGCGGACTTTAGTTAATAGAGTTGTGCCTTGCAAGACAGCTGTTTCATGGTGGGCATTACTTCAGGGAGGTTACTGTGTAGAGACAACTTTCAGGGCATTTTGCTTTCTGATGTGTGGTGTAATTTCCGTTAAAGCCCAATTAAAAAATCTTCAGTAAAGCTGTACGTGATTTTTTTCAAAGCTTTTGAAGTTGTTATGTACTCCTTTGTATCACTGTGCTGAGACCAGATCATTTCTACGATGAGAGCAAAACTAGCCAGTTTTATTTAGATTATCCATTAATTTTGGTGAAGTGGAACAATGAAGTAGTAGGTTTCAGTACTGACTTTAAGTTTAATATGCAAAGCTTACAAAATATCTTTCCTATTACTCTCAGAGCAGCAATGATTCCTGATCTGAAATTATATGCAATCAATTCAGAAAACTGATTTTATTATTACCATCTGTTCCTAGGGTGTATTGGAGACAGTTTCTGTGCCCCAAATCTAACGATTTCAAATGATTCTGGACCAGCTTACATATATCTCTCCACCCTGGTGCACAGAGGGCCAAAGCATCATTATTACTGTCATGATTGTTATTTATTAATTGTAATAGCATAAAATTAAATAATGTAAAATAATAATTAAGAATATTTAGTTTCAAGAGAAAAGCATATTTTTGTGCCTTTCAATTTAGGTAAAATACTTTCAACCTTTGAGGTTATTCAACCAGTTTAGAGGATCTAAAACATACTTTGTCACTTTGCCATTTTGGACTTTTCTTCTCTACTAAGTACACCAGTACTTTTGGGAGCCCTTTATTTGGCTCACTGAAGATGCATCTTTGCTTATTTTTGGAAGTGATTTTTATAGCCAAGATTTGATATTTTGCGTGGTTTTTCACTGAATGTCTTAACTATCTGAAAAGTTCTGACACATTTTCCTTAAAACTTTTGTCTTAGGAAGCCATGACACTGGAAAGATCTCACAGAGGCTTTGGGGTTTTACAGACCTGAGTTCAAATTCTGATTTTAATTTTAAAATATCAGTCAAATTGTTTATCTTCTAAACTATAAAATTGAAGTATATTACTTCACTTCTATAAGGCTCAGTTTTCTTGTAAAACAATGCTTCTTATAAAACTATTTTTAAAATCTTTTTTATTTTTGTGGTACAGAGTAGGTATATATATTTATGGGGTACATGAGGTATTTCAAACAATGCATTTTATAAGAATATTAAATACACATGTAGTTTTTTGAGAGGTACATGTGCGTTTATGTGTGTATATCTCAAGAAACGATATGTTTCAAGAAACTATGCATATGTTTTGGTTGTAAGATCAAATTCTTTAAATCCCAAATACTTCTCACACTGTTTGCAAAAGATAAAATGTTGGTTTCCTGTTTATCTGATTATATGGCCTTAAAACTCTAGTAAAATTATCACCTTTACAGTCTGGGGGATATTTCTCTTTCAGTTAAGAAGAATTCAGGGATTCTTTGTCCTTTTGGTAAAAAAATTACTCTTCTCCTGAAAAGAAGTTGCACAGATGTCTAATGATCCTATACTTTATACTGGCCAATATACTCTATTAGCAGCTGAGATACCCTCTATTTTTTTCAGCCAGAATTGATGTATCCTTCCTGACGTTTTGTGAGATCACTATATACTGCAAAATAAAAATATGTATTTCTTACTTCTGTGCACATAAGGCTACAGGCATGATTCTGATCTGATCCTCTGATAGGGCATTTAATAATATTATTACTTCACTGATCCAGACCAACATGTACCATGGTCAATAAATAAAATGAGGTAAAAATGTCTGCTCCTCTAGTACCTGGTCGGGTTCCAAGTCTGCAATAATCCAGAGATGAGTAACCAATTGTCCAAATTAGGACAGGGTTGGGAGAAGGAGCCTAGAGGTGAGGCATTGAGAGTAAGTAAATGAAGGTAACTAATGATGTGTCAGAAGGTAAGGGACAGACAGTTGGAAAGCAAGGGCTGGAAGAAGTAGAGAATTGGATCGACTCCCTGAAGCAAACATTCAGATATTCACGACGGCTTTATTTCATAGGTGTCTATAATCCTGGATGGAGTCTTGGGGGAAAAGTTAAAGAACCTACACTAAACAGAAGACACAGACACTACGCAAACTTAGTAAAGGGGTCTCATCCAATTCTTCATGCTATTCATCTAAGCAAGCATTAATTCAGAGTCTACATAATGTCCATGGCTATGGATTTCTGCTTTTAAGAAAGCCAGATCCAACAACGCAAATGTATTTTATATTTATTTCACCAGTGTATAAAAGGAAATCACTGATGCTTTGAAGGAGAAGCCACAGACCTTCCATCTTGGCTTGCCTACAAACAGCCTTTTATGTACCTTTTTTTAGCAGTCACACACTGACTCCTCTAATGTCTTTTCACCATAGTCCTAGCTACTGAAAAATCCCATGTATTTTCTAAGATACTGTGGGTCCATATGCTCGAGTGCAGCAATTATTTTCTTTGCTTCCGGAGGGATTAAGAGGTAGAGTTTTAAAAGGCAAATAATTAAACATAAAAATGTAACATTATGATCTGTATTTAAGGAACAACAGTGATGTTCATTTTACAAATTACAGAAAACAAAATGTAACAAAATCTGTGTAGCTGGGGGAGAGGCAGAGTTTTGTTGTTCCTGGTAAGTGATGGATGATTACCATATTGGAATCTGGAGAAAGGCTGCATTCTAGCTAAGGTTGAGTTACAATTGGATTAGAAAAATATTCCTGTTAGGATACAAGAAGAGGAAGTAGAATGTTTGCTGGCAGTTTAGTAATAAATGTGCATGCCTCAAGAAAGTGCAAATGTTTGTCTTGTGAAGATATAGTCCCCAGGCCCCATCATTAAATCAAAACCCCAATCAGGGCATCAGCTGTGCCACCATCTTGTGATACTTTAGTTAATTGGTTGACCATTCTTTTTCCCCAAAATGAATTGCCTCTAATAAGCAAGATGGGCTGAAGGCAGTTTTTAAACTATCAAAAAGTGATTTTCAGTCACTATAAGTGTTTTGCTTTAGAATTTAAGAAACCCTTCCCTGCTGGCATTAATATACTTGGGCTTGTAGAATCAATGGTGCTAAGGGACAGAGGATGTGCTTTGGGATTCTCTACATCTGGGTTTTGAATCCAAACTCTCCACTATTTCAACCACTTCCAGTTAACTAATGACTTCACCCTGGGCGTAGTACTCACACTCCATTACCTTATTGTTCTGTAAAATGAAGATAAGAATGCCTACCTCAAAAAATTTAATCATACATGTGATAATAAATTTAACATTGTCCACCTAAAAGATGGCCTGAAACATACCACCAGCTCAATAATGTGCTCTCCAATGTGGATCTTAAATTCTTGAAGGCTAAAAATATTACAATGGGTTTTAAGGAAACCTATGTGGACAAGCAATGCTAATGAAAAAGATATTGAGACAAACTCTCCCTGGAAAAAGGCAATGATAGCGGTTTTCATCATTTTTTGTTGATTTATTTAAAGACTCCATGAGAAAGAACAAAATAAAAGCATTTTTAGAGTCTTAGGCGACAATATATTTTAGAAAGATTCTATCCGTGATAAGTTTTGGAAAGAGAAAGAAAACTCTCAGGCTAGGAGAAATGCAATAGAAATTAGAAGAACAAATAAACAGAGAAATGGAAACTGAACAATTTTGTAAAAAGGAAGAGAGAGAAAACAAAGAAAAGCAAAAAAGGAATAAATGGCATAGCTAAAATATTAGGTTTAATGTCTTTATCAAGCATTAAAAAGTAACCTGTGAGTTATAATAACAAATATTCACCTAAAATTCTGGGACCTTATCCAAGCTACTCTAAAATTAGGAACTTAAGGAATTTCGCTCATTACACTTCCTTCACAAGTCTTTAGTAAGGGAAAATAATATGTTACTATTATTTTTTAATCTCAAAATGAATCATTTAAAAGTGGCTCTCCAAAAACAGATTCTGCTGTCTCAAATTAAACAAGCTACTGAAAATTATTATTTTGAGACCTACTTATGCCCTTGTACCAATTGTTCTGTTACAGAAAAAAAAATTTAAATTTAGGATAAAATCATTTTGGGGCCTTTTTTGGTTTTGTGAAACCAGGTGGCTCACAGTGTAAAAAATAACATCCATGTCCAAAGCTCCTTTGAGAATTGCAGACAAGAACCATAGGATGTTAGTGCAAAAGGGATCTCAGGCACTTGTGTTTTATGGATTAGGTCACTGGAGCCCAAAGAGGCAAACCATTCTTTCATGTGGGTGCTCTGGTCAAAAAAATGTAGCAAAGAGAAGCTAGTCAAGTTAAAACAAGCAAACAAACAAAAAAAACAAATCTGAATCATAGAAAGTAACTTTATTGGAATTATCAACACAATCAGCCTTTGGAAGTAAGAACTGTATCTATGCAAATATGTGTCTGAGTATGGGCAGCAGGCATTGTAGATTGAGTGAAAACATTTGCTTCTCTGCATGACTCTGAATAGAAATAAAGGAAACACTGATTTTTTTTTTTCCTCCATAAATGTAGAAAATGCTTGACTAATCTCTGATTGCTATTTTGCCCCCAAAGTCTTGCCTATTATTAGGTTTCTTGGCAAATCAGATTCTTTCATTTGCAGTGGCTATAATCACATGAATTACAGGTTTCATTTAGACTCATCTCACCTCTCCCAGTGGGAAGTATCCTTCTCTCACTTTCAGCAGACAAAAATAATGGCTGCCAATATGAATGAGGAATCAAGAATATTCAATTACACAGCTGATCTCTGTTATTCGTGAACATTTGAGGACCTTGCACCTTGCTCAGAGCTGTGTCCTGCTGAAAAATTTCACTGTGACTGTTTGATTTCTAGAATGTCCTTTTGGGTAATCTGCATGCTGATAGTTATCAAGCCCTGTTATAACCTGCATTCTGTCTGTTATCAGAAACTACACCTTTGCTTCTCTAGGCTATTAATCTTCATGAGACCTTAGAATTTCTGAAGAGTATTGAAACTTGAAGCCAGCCTATAGGGTTTAATGAAGTTTCATTTCCAGTTTATTTCGACAATGCCATTTCAATTCTGCATTCTAAATGTTTACACAAGAAGCTTAAGAAAATACTTTTAAAATCTAACCAGAAAGGTAGACAACATGGAGAAATCACATCTGTACATATAGAGGCCATACTCATTAAATTGTTTTGAGGATCAAGAGAAAGAGGAAAGAGGGAAAGGAACATTGATCTGTATAATAGATGGCAAGATGGGACTCACCAGTTCTATCTTGACAGTTGAAGAACTTGATTAAGTAACTTAGGGCACAACCTAGGCATCATCTTCTCCAAAACACTGTCCCAAATACCTTCCAGTCCAAGCTTTAAACTAGGTTAGGTGCTTCTATTGTTACTGTTTTTTCTTAACAACAATAGTAATAATAATTGTCTGGAAATAAAGAATGAATGTTTCAGGGCTTACTCTATGATGAGCTCTGTAATAAGCACATCCCATGTATCATCTTATTTAGAGCACCCGCTAAAAGTGATGTTGTTTTCAACAAGTTACAGATAAGAAAACTGAGGTGTTGGGAAGTTAAATAATGTCCCCAAGATTACAAAACTAGTAACTGGCTAAACTTGGAATTCAAATTCAAACAATATTAGCCCAGAACAAGTCCTCTTGCCTAATCCACTCTGATCTATACATTACACATTCTTTAGAAGAAGAACCCTCTTCCCATTTATTTTTGTATTATTCAAAGTCTGTGAAATGCTTGGCTCATATGTATTTAATATTTGCTGAAAGAATAAACAGAATAATTAGAGCAATCTGAAATGCTAACCAAATCTGTCTCATGCCAGTGTTTTTCACACTACACACCCTCTAAAATCAATTTTAAAACAGACTTTAAAAAGGGTACATGCTATTCAAATATAAGGTATTAGCAGAAGTTAGAACATTCACGTAAAGGGATGCTCCTGAGTTTGGTTACGATTGGATCTCTTTTTAGAGAGCTATATTCAGTTAGGGGTTGCTTTAGCAAGTTGGATTCTCAACAGTTCTTAAGGGGGCAGAAATCCAAGCATGGCTGCTCCATATGCATGAATTTGAACAGAAAGATTTAGAGAAAGGTTGTGGTGGAAGAGAAAGTATAGGGAAAAAATGAGAAAATATGAATGAGGTGGTTTGCTTTCCTTATGTAACCTGCTGCTTGTTTTATTAAGCATAGGTCTTCTGCAATATGAAATAGTTCACAAAAGTTTTTAAATAGCCTAAAAATTTAAACACTTAATGATGGAGAATTGTTAACCTAAGCCATAATCTAAAACCAAAGAGAAGGGTTCCTTTAGCTTCTAAGACTTTGAAAG
Source organism: Homo sapiens (assembly GCF_000001405.40). Lineage (NCBI taxonomy): Eukaryota > Metazoa > Chordata > Mammalia > Primates > Hominidae > Homo > Homo sapiens. The sequence continues at coordinate 106,309,870 of NC_000010.11, forward strand.
CATTGAGAGCTGAACCCTATGGGACAGTAAAGAGAATCACATTTTATGTCTGTATTTTTACAGATATCCTTAAGGCATGAAAGTTTATCCTTTCACCAGAGACTACAATTAATATTTCAAGGCTGAATTAGATCTGCTCACCTAAAATGGAACAGAAGGCCGCAAGGAAAACATTGTCAGGAGAAGGGTATGTAAAAAGACAAGTTACTGCCTAAAAATGCACCCTTAAAAAGTATGAAAACCTTCAACTAGAAAGGAAAACATGGCGGACTTTTACCATAAAAAATGTAATAGAAATTCCTGTCAGGTCTCTTCTGCCTGTGGTGAATATTTAAAGTCTAGATACAATATATTTCTTTTGGAGATGGACTATCAAATCACTTGAGAGTCTTTGAATATAAAACACAGAACCAAACAAATCCAAAGCATAATTTAAGACAGTCTTGCCCCTACAGCCCAAGTTAGTCTTTCCACATCATCAACTTTACCTAAGGCCCTGGTCCATAGAAAACAAATCAGATATTTAAATACCGTTCATGAGGAAAAAAATAAAAAATTTCCCTCCACTCTCCCCTGTAGACAGATTACTAAATGGAGTTCATATATTTAAGAAACATTTCAGAAATAGTTAGAGAAAGCTCCAGTTATAACCTTGCTATCAAATAACTAGGCTAAACCATTTTAAATTGACTATATTGAAACTAAAATAACCTTTATTGCTATACTTTAGGTGTTTGTCCCCTCCAAATCTTATGTTAAAATGTAATCACTAGTATGGTAGTGTTGGGAGGTAGGACCTAGTGGGAGATGTTTGGATCATGGAGGTCGAACCCTCATGAATAGATTAATGCCCTCCTGGTGGGGTGAGTGAGTTTTCATTCTGTTAGTTTCCATGACAACTGTCTGCTGAAAAGAGCATGGCACTTCTCTCTCAACTTGCTCTGCTCTCTTGCTTCCTTTCTTGCTAGGTGATCTCTGCACAAACTGGCTCCCCTTCGCCTTCCACCAAGAGTGGAAGCAGCCTGAGACACCCAGTCTTCTAACCAGCAGATCATGAGCCAAATAAACCTTTTTTCTTGACAAATTATCCAGTCTCAGGTGTTCCTTTATAGCAACACAAAATGGACTAAGACACCTAGGCCTTTTTATAATTAGAAACAATGTATTCACCCATGTGAGCTGGAACTGCATCTGTAACTGGTGTTGGTAATCCAAGACCCATGGGCCAAATCTGGCCTGCTAATTGGATATGGCCCTTGAGCTAAGAAGGTTTTGTTTTTATGGTTTTTTGTTTTGTTTTGTTTGCAGTTAAATTGCTGAAAAATATTTAAAAGAAGAATATTTTATGTCTAAAGATTATGTGAAATTCAAATTTCAGGGCTCTTAAAGTTATGTTGGAACACAGCCATGCCCATTCATTTATGTACTGTCTATGGCTGCTTTCACTCTACAACAGCCAAGCTGAGTAGATAGAATGGTGTTTGGCCCATGGTGCCTAAAATACTTACTATGGTCTTTTTCAGAAAAAGATTGTGGATCCTCAATTTATGACATTCCTGATTTTTCGGACAACACCAATTTCACATATTATCATCTATTATGAGTATATGTGTCCTAATCATTTGAAAAACATGTACTCTAGCTAGAAATCCCCATCTAAATAGTATAAAATGATTCAACTCTCAAAATAATCAAGTCCATGGAATGAAACAGGCACTTGAAACAGCAACGTATTGCTCTTCATTTTTTTCTTTATTTATTTCTTTTGCTCTCCCAGTTCTTGTTTCTCATTCACGGCTCAGTGAAGAGTCCAGATTTTGGCTATATTTATTTAATACTGAATGACCACAGGATCCTTCATGGTAGAACACCCTTAGGAACAACACGTGGTTCAGCTTATTGGATATGAGCCAGCAGCTGTGCTGAGAATGTCAAGGTTCTCTCATGCACATGGGGCTCTGGCAATCCAAAGAAAAATGAGACACAATCCCTGCCCTTGAAACACTTCCAACATATAGAAGAACATCACCAAAGCCGGGAAGGCACAAGATGTGTTTGCTAAGTAATCTGGTACTGCAGTTTCTACACCATTATGGTAGTTATCCATAGGTTCTTGGCAATATATAAAATAGTGTTTTATAAAGACAAATTGGTTCATTTTAAAAACAATGATTATTTCCACATTTGTAATCTATGTTTTAAGTTAAAGCCATCTTTATTTCATCAAACAATAATGACAGTTATAGTGATGACACTTGTATATATTTTAATACTTTATTGACATTATTGAGGATATGTCCAAAGCACAGAGCAATAATCATCATCATCATCATCATCATCATCATCATCATCATGTGCAAGAAATGCCAAAGTCTAGAAACTGGTTGACAAGACCAAGTTGTGGAATAATGGTTGGAAAAGTTCAAAGGTGAGGTTAGTGTGTTCAAATCGCCCAGAGTCATGATTGCCAAGTGAAAGAATTTAAATGTAATTTATGAGTCAAAGGGGAGCCATTAAAAGTTTTTGAGCTAGAGAATGACATAATTAGAGTAGTGCTTCAGGAAGATTAATTTGGCAGCAGGAAGGATTGGCTGTGGAAGAGACTGAAATCAGGGAGCACATTTTAAAGAAGATTGTTACTTCCAAATGAGATGTAATGAAGTCCTGAAACAAGTAACTGTCACAGTGGGAATGCGGCGGGGGGGGGGGTGGGGGAAAGAACAGATGGGAGACACACGTGTGGGGTCAGACTTGATGGGACACTGTGACTAACTGAATAAGAGGGTTAGAGAGCAAAAAGAGTCAAAGAAGCCTCCATGCTTAAGTGCTAGGTGACTGGACCAACTTGGGTGCCATCAACAGAAATAGGAAATGGGGAGAAGGAACACATTTGAGAGTGATTGCAAGACGCAATATTAATTCTAAAATAAAAAGCAAAAGCTAGTCCAGATTTAAGTCACAGAGTATAGCCACTGAAAACAGGAATTTGACTAGGTAAGTGCTTTAACACTTCATGTCCTTTTCACTACACTGCTTAGAGCTATGCCTCCCTAGGGCACATACAACAGAAATCTATAGATCTGTATTTCCAGAGGACTGTAAGTTCACCGTATTTTGCAAATCTAAGCAAGCAGATACAGTGAAGGTTAGTCCCCCTTAACCAACAAAGCAACACAGAGGAAAACCATCAAAACACCTAACATTCTTAAAGATTCCTTAGTTTCCAGACACAATGAGTCTCCAAAATTTCATAGGAAACCTGCATTGTTTGTGTACATTGCCTGGATCCATCAGCTACTAACTTGACTCAGAAAAACAGCCAGTATGCTACACTGTAAAATTGTCACTCCAACTACCTTAGTTACCAGCACCTAGGACCATGGATCGTAAATAATTCTAACAATTCTAACCTTCAAGAATGTAATGAATTATGAGCTTTTCATCAGAAGACATGAGGATCAATAGAAGCAGAGGGTTTCTAGATAAGCACATTCTATAATTACTGCTTAGGACTGAATAAATCAATTTAATATCACACTTCAGAAAAGTTTTCAAAAATGTATTTTCCCCCAGATTTATTAGAGTAATGGTGTGTGTTGGTTCATGGTCCCATGCCATCTTCTTTTTAATATAACCTTTTAAGGAAATTTAATTTCTACTTCAAAAGGAGTTACATAAAACATCAATTTTCTATAACTGTATTTGACACGTTTTATTTTTTTTCCCTGGAGGAGATGAATCAATCATTCAGTTACTTCTCAATTTATCTTATTTTTTTCAGCGAGCCAACAACTTAAATTTTTCAGGCTTCTTTAGCAATTAGATAACAAATAGGTATTTAACTATTCTTTACTTGCAATCTAATAGTTCAGGTAATGAGGCTGAAATAAACTGCATGATGCATGTCAAGCTGGCCATTTCCTTCCAATTTAATATTCCTTTTGCAGAATAATTAAAAACACACACTTGCTGATCACCTACACGGTCCAGAAAATTGTAAATAATTGTACACATCAATGCTAAAGGCCAATAACTATTTAAAAATTCATTTTGATTATTTCTGTTGTAAAAAGCAAATTAAAAATCAACACAGGCCATAACACAAATGCTTGTATTTATTTTGAGGCCTGTGTGTATTAATATAAATGATTAAAAATTTCCTGGTCGTAGAAAAAATTGTTTGCAATGGAAATAAGAGGACTGCTTACAGCTTAACATTGTAAACTCCTCAAATATTTAATAACTGATGATGTTTTGAATGTGAATAAAGAATCTTGATGAAACTAATGTCATCTAGCTCTTCAAGGCTTTCTTAGTGTTCCTGTCAACAAGGTATTGTATTCATGACTTTAAAAGCATGGGTTAAGTATTCTATAAGAAAATAAAATAAGAGACGTATGAATGTACAACGAAAAAAAATTAGGCATAAAAGAGGAAGCTCTTACAAAAGGAGGAATATTAGATGTTAAGGGAAGTTACTCTTTAAAGTTCATAGAACTTCTTTTGCTATTGAATTAAGCTCTATTCCCCAAATAGCTTCAAGAACTCAAAGTAAAAAGGGAAACAGCAGACCTTGGTGGTCCTATAAACTTCTCACCCAAAGATTTGAACAGAGAGGCAAGTCCCTCTCCCTTCCTCTCTTAGTTCAGAGTGCCCCACGGAGGCACAACCTCCTGAAGCCAGGGTCCCGAGGGCACATCATTATAACTCAACCCCAAGAGTAATCAGGATATTTGGAAGTAAATGAAGGATATTTTTTGAGGGGAGGATAATCAATAATAATTACAAAACAGCACTTGTAGAATTCATTTTCAATCAGGGATAATTTTTAATGAGAAGTTGAAGGAAAAGTTTAGAGAGATTATCATGCATCTTGATACCATAAAATTTTTCATCCCTGGCATCTTGTGAATCAGTTTCCCTGTCTTCATTTTTTACCTTTTAAATTCAGCCAAATAATTTTCAGAAGACAACGCTTTCGTTTTTTAAATATTGGGGCTTTAAAAATATCTTTCCTTTTGTTTTTAATCATATACTTAATATGTCATGAGCCTGAAAATGGAATGGTGACTGGTCATCTTTTATGAGGTGTTTCTAATAAATTGAGGATTTTATATCAAGAATAGGTTTCCCTATTTCTTGAGCAAAGCAAAGTTAAAGAATCAGACTCCAGTCTAACCTTGTAAGCATTAGCCAGTATTCTAAATTTTTGCTTGATGCCAAAAGTGTCTGATTCCCCAAAGCATTGTATTTGACTTCAGAAATTAAGAACTTGCGTTAAACTACTGATAATTCATACAAATTCTAGCCTCTAAGTAGCACGTACATATACAGTACAGTATTATCTCCTTTACTATTGAATATTGGATGTGATGATTGTATTAATTTCTGAAAAGGATGCTTAGCAAAGCAACTGAAGCTAACCAAATATAGAGATGGCTTTGAATTATCAGTGTCCTAGTGATTAAAGTTGTAACTAGAGTTAATAACCAATTTCTACCTTGAAACACGTGCTAAAATTGTTTTCTTGTCTTGAATATTCTTCTAAGCATAATTTATAACTGGGGATAGCTTTTTCAGATACTCACTTGAAAATTGATTATCCGTCCCCTTGTCTGGGCCCTTCTACCAATTGCATAGTTACTTCATGGTGACTTTTCTGCCAATGTTACAAGTGCAACTAATCCTACCAAAGGGAAGATTTGTGTTAAACCTTTTCAGTAAATCAAGTTTCTGTGCCTGCAACATCCCTCTCAGCTACAGTAAACAATCTTCCCAGGGAGAGGGAGGACGGAGAGAGAAATAGGAAGTTCTTAGCAGATAGTTCCTGTACTCCAGACACACTGATCCCTTATTGTATGGCTGCTTTTGAGTTTATTTTAATCCCTCCAGAGGAGCCAGGATGATGCAGGCATCTAGCTTAGTACATAATCCAGCCAGCTCAGTAACGAAAAGCTTGTGAATAGCAAACATGAAAATCTTCAGAAGTAGTAAACATAGAAAGAGACTAGCAGGAGGACAGTAAGTTCTTGATTTCAGACACCATGAAAAATTGCCTCTAGTAGATCAAGAGTGGAATCACACCCCTTTGGAGCACAGACTTAATAACCAAAATAAGTATCCTTTGCTTTTGGAAGGTACATCAACACTAGCCATAGTTTTTTTTTAAAAAAAAAAAAAAAGAGAGAGAGAAAAAGGAAAAAATAAAGATGAAATAAGGAAATAAGAAAGAAAGAAAATGGCAGGTAGATCCTGAAAAAGGCACACTGGTCAAAAGAATTGCAAATGATATTTGTTATTAATACACAGGATATCCTTTTCAGTGGGCTTTAGGACACTCTCAATGGGAAGACTCCAACCTGTCTATAATGACATCCAATTGTATTTTATCTTGTGCTCAATATGGAATTGAATCTCAGTCTCTACAAAAAAAAAGGTTAAATGAACCAAACTATTCTATTTTATAGAAATAAGTATGATCTATATGATCTCGTTTCATTCATGTGAAATATATAATGTTTTTGCATTCCTTTTCTACACAGTCTTACCACTATTATAGTGAGCAAAATATACAGTGCAGTAATTAAAAGCACTGGTTTAAAAGTCAGAAAAACATAAGTTTGATGCTAAAATCACCTATTAGCTATGTGATCTTAGGAAGACTATTTGGCTTTTTTATGTCTTAGTTTATTATTTGTAAAATGATGGTAAAAGTATCCATCTATAGGATATTTGTGGGTATTAAGTGAGATAATGTAGATAGCTCCTGGAATATATGTATTCAATATTACTTATTATGGTGATATTGATAAGATTGTCAGCATTGTTTTTAAAAATCATTTATTATTTCCCAAAGTAAGTTGACTCCGCTCCCTGGGCTATTTAAAGAAAATAGATACATACTTAGCTTCAGGCTTGTACACCACGACTACCTTAATATTTTTCTCTTCCATCTTGGAAAAGAGAATATTCATGGTTTGGGGAAGTGTACTGTACTATGCCTTTTTCTTATCTGCATCAGAGCACTTTTAATTATCTCTTGCAGTGAAATGGAAGAATAAAATGAGGATATACAGCTCAAATTCATCTGGAACAGGATTAGTGAAAAACACTCAATCCAAGTGACAGAGACTAAAAAAATGTAGGTTGGCAACTTGACCTTCCTGAGACGGCATATTAGGCAGAAAAACAAAAAGTTAGGTTTAAAAAAGAAAAATAAAGCACTAAGATTTTGATAAGTAGCCTCTTTTCAAACTTAGTGTATTATTACTAGAACACCAAGAAATATTTTATTCATAATACAAGTGCCCCATAAAAACCAAAATCCTTGAGCATGAGAAGGTCTTTGTCCAACACTGAAAGGACATTCAGAATAAATCAATGCCTGTTCTTGCAATTTTATTTAAATTGCACATCCAAATCCCTCATCACTGTGATTTCTTTTTTTTCTGTTTAATATTATCCTTGTTCTAGAAGAATTCTTGAGTCAAAAAGCTCTACATGATAAGTAGACAGACCTCCCCAGAGATTACTTGCAACAGGGCCAGTACAAAATAAATCTGGAAACAATCTATTTGTCAGAAAGATTTGGAGAACCATCTAAAGATTTAGTGTTTGCATGTGCAGGCTCAGATCATTTTTGTTTCACAGCTTGCCCTTGATTGGCAGTGCGGCCACCTCTAAACATGTTCATCTTAAGAAAGAGTAAGTCAGCACAAGGAATTTATAAAGGTAGCAGTTTCTTTTAACACCACAGAACTGGAGACCTGAGCAACTTCAAACAGTGAATCCTAAGTGCTGAGAAAGAAACTCTAGACAGTCAAGTCCAATGCTGCAGAGTCAAGAGAATCTATAACCTGCCACAGACCCTGACAGCTTTAATTTCTCACTAACCTCATTTGATAGATTAGGAAAAAGCAGACAGAAATGGACCACAAAGGAGTTCTTGATGATATACAGAAAGAGTAATTGAAATATAGTAATTGAGTCATTCATCCAACCATCTGACATTTATCGAAGACCTACAAATTGTATGGCATCCATTGAGATAATTGACTTGTGGAACCGACTTGTAAACATGTAATTATCATGTAAGAAGGCTTTTTGTAAGTATAGTTTTTTTTTTCATTTTATTCATCACAAAACTGTCTTTTTCCCCACGTTGGTACATGGAGCAAAGATAAATTTTTTAAATCTTTTTTTTTTAATACTTTAAGTTCTGGGATACATGTACAGAACGTGTAGGTTACATAGGTATACATGTGCCAGGGTGGTTTGCTGCAGCCATCAACCCATCATCTATATTAGGTATTTCTCCTAATGCTATCCCTCTCCTAGCACCCCTCCCCCCGACCCAACAGGCCCTAGTGTGTGATATTCCCCTCCTTGTGCCCATGTGTTCTCATTGTTAAAGTCTCACTTATGAGTGAGAACACGCGGTGTTTGGTTTTCTATTCCTGTGTTTAGCTTGCTGAGAATGATGGTTTCCAGTTTCATCCATGTCCCTGTAAAGGACCTGAACTCATCCTTTTTTATGGCTGCATGGTATTCCATGGTGTATATGGGCCAGATTTTCTTTATCCAGTCTATCATTGATGGGCATTTGCATTGGTTCCAAGTCTTTGCTATTGTGAATAGTGCTGCAATAAACATATTTGTACATGTGTCTTTATAGTAGAATGATTTATAACCCTTTGGGTATATGCCCAGTAATGGGACTGCTGGGTCAAATGGTATTTCTGGTTCTAGATCCAAGACACTTATGCAGCCAACAAACATATGAAAAAAGCTCATCATCACTTGTCACTAGAGAAATGCAAATCAAAACCGCGATGAGATACCAACTCATGCCAATTAGAATGGCAATCATTAAAAAGTCAGGAAACACCAGATGCTGGAGAGGATGTGGAGAAATAGAAACACTTTTACACTGTTGGTGGGAGTGTAAATTACTTCAACCATGGTGAAGATAGTGTGGCGATTCCTCAAGGATGTAAGTGTAGTTATTAATTGACTACTGCCTAAGGTTATGGCTTCTATTTTAAAAAAGATCATTCACAATAACATTAAAAATAATAAAATTAAGATACACAGAAAAAAAAAACAAAAAAATGACACAAGCCTTTACAGAGAATGTTATAAAATATTATTGATGGACATGCAAAAGCCATTAATAAATGCAGAGATATCATGCAGAGTAAGTCCTCAGTTAACATCAGTAGGTTCTTGGAAACTGTGACTGTTAAAGGAAACAATGTATAAAACAAAACCAATTTTACCATAGACTAATTGATATAAGTAATAAAGTTTCTGTGTCATAATTCTGGTCATAAGATCACCAAAATTCTAAATAAAGACCCAAAATACTTCTAATATTAATCACTGATATTAATATGAGTTATATGTATATTTAAGAAAGGTTAAGAAAAACAAGGTAATTATTTACTCAAGCTGAATGCTTTCATGGCACATTGTTTATTGTCATGCATTTGCATGATTATCTTTATGAAATTTACTTTCACAATAATTAACATTCATTCATTCACCTTCCAGTCTGCTTATTCAAGTTGAAGGAGCCCATCCTGGGAGGCTGTCCCAGCAGCTCAGGGCACAGGGCAGGCGCCCATCCTGGACGGGATGCCATCCCATTGCATGCTCACACACCCCTCCTCCCGATTCACTCAGACTGGGACCACATTCATATGCCAGTTCGCTTCACACACACATCTTTGGGATGTGTAAGGCAAGTGGAATACCCAGAGAAAATCCACACAGACATGAAGCTAACATGCAAACCACACAGACAGGGGCCAGTGCTGGAAATCATTCCTATTTTTCTCAAAGTTATAATAAAAGATGTTGAACAAAGCGATGTTATTCAAGGACCTGCTATAATCCTAGAATCATGGATGAGAAGATGAAATAGTATAAACTTACTGGTGTTTTCCTAATTAAAATATTAAACTAAGCTAATACAAGTTACATTAAAATCCCAATAGTGTCTTTCATGAAACTTTATGAGTATCTATCTATCTATCTATCTATCTATCTATCTATCCATCTATCACTACAAGATCAAGAGCAGCAAAGAAAATTTTAAAGAATAGGAATGAAGGGAGGAAACTTACCTACTATATACCAAAATTTATGACATTATAATTAAAATAGTATAACTGGCACATAGACAAATTGACCAGTAATCAGAATAGTAAGTGCAGAAAAAAAGACTCATGAGTATCTTAAAACTTGATAATGATGGGAATGGCAGGTCATCTGGAGTGGCCACTGCCATCACTCCAGCTGCAGCGGGGAGGTGTGGGTGCTGGCTATAGGAGCAGCAGTTGTGGTGGTGGGACCCCTGTGCCCCACATCCCCGATGCAGCTGACTGTATCACTCTCACCCTCGCACAGCTGGGCAGGACCTTCTCCCAAGCCCAGAGGCTCCACCATGGTAGGATGGGGGGCGGTCGACTGGGCTGCTGGTCCTGCAGACTGGGAACTTGCTGTGCTTTTCCAGGCCCACCATGGCCACCTATGGAACAACAGGCACCACTATCTCCCCTAAGACCCATAAAAACCCTGGACTCAGCCAGACTTGAAGAGACAACAGGACAACCAGCTACAGAGAGGAGCTACTCTCTCTGCTAAGAGCTAAACACTGGTTGGGACATCTTGCCAATGAAGAGGAGCTATCCACTGTGGGTCTCCTCTGAGGTGTTCTATTGTTCAATAAAGCTCCTCTTCATCTTGCTCACCCTCCAGTTGTCTATGTACCTCATTCTTCCTGGACTGGACACAGGACAAGAACTGGGGACCCACCAAATGGCAGGGCTAAAAGAGCTGTAACACAAACAGGGCTGAAACACGCCTCTTGCACATCACCTTGCAGATGACAAGAAAGAAGAGAAGAGTTGCAGCCCTTTGGGGAGCTCAGACCTAGGAGCTCCCTGAGTGAGGGCTGTGACACACACTCTCTTTAGGGCTCTGTGGTTCCTGGCATCTCCAAGCTTCCAGGTGCCACCAGATTCTGCAGAGTCAATAGAAGCTGTTCATGGTTAACTCTGGTCCAGCCACAGCCTTGCAGGGAGCTGACACCCATGTTGGTGCCTGGAGCTGCCCGCCCCACCACAGCTGATGTGTCTGGCTGTGTGCAGTGGCCAGAGCCCATGCTTGTTCACACACCCCTTGCTGCTCTGCATCTGGCTTGCCCTTGGCAGGCATGGGATCCTGGCCAGTATTGCGAGCTGAGCACAGCCTGATAGCCCAAGTGGGCAGAATGAGCCCAGCATGCCAGAGCAAAACTCAAGCAAAGGTGCCACTGGCCACAGAGGTTTCCATCTGGTGAGAAGACACCCCAGGAATCCCGTAACAGTAACATACCAGAAGTAAAATTATTTCATTAATAATGCTGGAATAATTCATAATTTATATGCATATGTGCTTTACACAGTATACAAAAATAATCTACACACATATTAAGTATCTAATTATAAGAAGCAAACTTTTAAAAACACTTTTCTAAATATATAAAAGCAATTTTAATGACCAGAACATTGAGAACAAATTGGACAGTAAAAGCATAGAATGTAGGAGCAAAGATTGATTTATTGAAATAGTTATGTAAAAGCAAAACATTTACGTAATACATAGATAGGTAAAGACTGCAAGTGATATTGAAAGTGACAATAATAGCAGTGCACAACACTGCCAATATTTTGTGTTCAAAGTATGTAAATATCTCTTTCTCCCCTACATCCTATAAATCAATAGGAAATAAATACAATAAATGGACAGAGATTATGAATAGACAATTCACAGAAGATAAAATGCAAATAGAAAAAATGGACATATGCTCAATTTCACTTGAAATATAAAAAATGAAAACAATAATATATCACATCATGCTGATGTGTCCTTTTATATGTTTGAAAATAGAGAGAAACTGGAACTCACTTTACTGTGGAGAGGGTAAATTGGTATAGCTCTTATTAATGAGTACTATGGTAATACCTTCTAGAACAGAAGATGTATAACTTCCTTCCACCAAGCAATTCTCTTATTCCTAAAAAGCTCAGAAAAGTAAGCAAGGAGTTATATCAAGGAGTATTTTTCACATCATGATTTGTAATGGTGAAAAATTAGAAACATCTCAATATTCATGATAGGAGAATGGATAAATATATTGTGGTTAAGGCCACACGGTGGATTGCCATAAAGCAGCAATGTAAATGACAGAGCTACAGAGCTACATTCATATCTATACCTAGGGTCATTACCTATTGAGCTAGATAAATCTCGAAACAAAAAAGCAATGTTAAATAAACAAAGTTGCAGACAGAAAATATACTGTGATATTACTCATACAAAATGTAATATGGAGATTATAATAGAGTATGATATATTGTATATAATATACATTCATGCATATAGTTTGCTTCTTACAGCTGCATATATATCACTGGCAAGTGTTAAAAATATTTATGAGGACAGTAAACTACACATCCAAAATAGTGGTTACCTCTGGAATAAAGGATGGAATGAGATTGGGAAAGCATCAAAGGCATAACCAACTGTAGCTGTAAAAAGAGCAATAACAGGAGAAAAAAATGTAATCTAAATATAAAACAGAAAATATAAGGATTTGTTAAAATTAGATGGCAGATACAGATGTTGGTAGTATTCTCCATATTTTCCTTATATTTAAACTAAAATTATGCAAATGTTAAGTTTACTCGAATTAAGAATTTCTAGCCTAAAACGTTTAAGTTTGAACGACTCAACGGGGAGTCCTTGAATGTTTTGAAATCATATAATAGTAAAATAAAGACCACTTTCTTCAGCTTAGCAGCAAGAAGCCCTCACTGACTGCAAATAAATATAATCAACCTTGACCTATTTCTCAAACTCATATGTATAACTGTCTTTTTACATCTCTACTTGGATGTCCCAGATGGTTTCCCTGAACGTCCTTCTTAAATGTGCTACACCTGCAGTCTTCCCATTCTCAGATAACAATTCCGTCTACTCAGCTGGCTCATAAACTTTGGAGTCAGCCATGTCATTTTTGTTCACTTGCCACATCCAGTTATCTCTAAATCTTACTGGCTCTATATCAAAATATATTCATGTTTTACCATTTCTCACCACCTCCATTGCTACCATCTCCATCCAAACCACCATTTCTCTTGCCTTGATGATTAAAATGGCCCCGAAAGGGGTCCCACTATTTCTATTTTTGATACCCTACTTATTCATACAGAAACCAGAATAATGCTTATGAGAAAAGATAATTTCAACATTTTGCTTGAAAATTCCCAATACCTCCCTATAATGAATGCAATAAGGTGTCACTCAGATATCGTCTGAAGTAAAAAATACCCATTCCCTAGTTTCTGGGAGTATTGGCTGCTAATAACTGGGTCTCTTTCTAATAATTTTCTTTGGCTGAAGGAAATTGCCTCATCCAAGTTTGTACTTTCTTCCTAGAGGCAGGTCTCACCCAACAACTGGCCAGTGCCATGGTGCAAAGGTTCAGGCCACTTTAGAAAATCTCTGAAGGGTCATCTCAACTCTAAAGCTTCCCACATGATTTTCGGAGCTTCTGTTGCAATTACATTACAGTCGAACTACTAACACTCTGAGAAAGTAGGAATTGATGCCCACCCGGGGAAAAAAAAGTAAGTAAATTTTAAGTAATTATAGATCCCTAAATGGGATTCTGCACTTTAGGTAAGCTAAATTTTTATAACAAAGAATCTCCCCTTACCTCCCCGGACAGGAGGAGTGACTGTGGAGTTGATTTTTTTTAAAGGCCATGATTAAAGCCATGGGGACAAGGATTTAACAAAAGGGTGGCAGAAGCTTCAAAGTTGTAAAAGTGTAATGAGAGCAAAGATCCAACCTTTGCGCAGCACCTCCTTATTAATGCATTGCCTACATTCTACAAGGTCATCAAAACCTACATTGCTTGCTCAGCATTGATTTATGTATTCCTTGCAAGAAAAAAAATACTTCTCTAGAGTCTCTTTGATAAGAAACTATTATAATATTCTGCATTTTGAATACTTTTAATGCATGTTCCTACCAATTTTATCATCTAACATATAATGTAATCTTCACACAAAGCCACTAGTGAAATCATTAGGACCAGCATTATTCCCAGATGGCATGAAAGGACACTCAAACACAAAGACTTTGTTAAATACCTAAGATCACACTAAATTCATCAAGGAGTTTGAATCTTTCTGCTAAACATAATCACGCTTTTCTGTTTCCTGCAAGAAACTGCTGTGCTGTGAAAAGGGGACTAAGAAGCTTCAGTGGATAATAATGAAATCTGAGATCAAAAGTGTTTCAAGTTTTTGTTAGAAACAAATCTGTTAAGAAAATGCAAAGTGTGAAGACACTAAAGTATCGCACAGATAAAACACTACAAGCTCATAGTAAGAAAGAAAAAAGAATTCTAAAAACCCTTATTTAAAAAGAGATAATTTAGTACAAGTGAAACTGTAGTTTATTGCAGATTGAAAAAAACATATTTCCTTTGTTTCCCTTTTAAATTATGAGTCACATCAATCACTCAGGAGAAAAGAAGCATGTCAGAATATTATAAATCTCTGAAGTTCAATAAAAGCCTTAATTGTCTTGATTCAGAAAACCCTCCTCTGGGATTTCTTAAAATCTTGTTTCATTATAATTGAAATTTAATCAATATGCAGTTCTGATTACTTATACCCATGAAGGAGTTATTAAGACTCTGCATACAGAATGCCATAACCAGTTGATTAAGGGGAAAGAAAGTCAAACTCACTGTTAGTAGTACAGAGAAGAAATAACAGTGGATTGACTTAGAATTCCATTTTCAGTAATTGTGTAAGTAGAATTTAAGTCATTTCACAATTATATTCACTCATCTGCTTAAGATATGGAACGCTGTAATTTGTCACAAATGCACTCTACAAGGCGAGTTTAAGTTTTCAAGGTACTCTGCAGTGTGAGCCAAGTTGACAGCAAAAGGCCCTGTAATACTTCACCAAATGGTCCATGATTGTTATTTCATCAGGATTGGATGGGAGTGTTTACAGCAAACTTTCATAAAACTTTGTGGCAAAATAAAAACAAGGAAAAATTGAGAAACACTCCTTACAGTGTGCCCTGGAGATATATGTATAGGTCATAGACATCCTGTGAAAGATAAAACAAACATTGTAAAGAGAGGAGAAAAACCTATTGTGGGCAAGAAAACGCTGGATTTTAGCTGTGTTATTGTGGTAAGTCCAGGCCAACAATTCTTGGCCAGTTAGAAGAATTAGTATACAAATGGGTCCCTGATTTCTACCTGAGGTCTAGATCGGTATTTCTAGACTGATAAAGGACAGTTGTTACTTTTTTGTCTCCCTTAAATCTACCACAGATTGATATTTTTGCAAAATATAGTAAATATAGATTACTATAAAAATGAAATAAAAAATCAAAGGCATACAAAATGTAAGCCTTTTTATTATTAGATTTAATAGGCATAAAATTACTTGCAAATTGCTATAAAGTTATATAAGTGCTTATTCTCAATTTTAGAACTTGTCTCATCATGGACAGGTAACAATTTGCAGACTGACACCTATCTAAAGAATTATATATAGTAGCACTAATTTATTGCTGATAGGTCATGATTAGAATGTTAAAGATGATGGATAAGCGTAATTAAATTCTTGCTATATATGAGGTATTTTACTAAATTATTTATTTAATTTTTTCATTTTAAGTTCTGGGGTACATGTGTAGGATGTACTGGTTTGTTACAGAGGTAAAGGTGTGCCACGGTGGTTTGCTGTACCTGTCAACCCATCACCTTGGTATTGAGCCCTGAGTGCATTAGCTCTTTTGCCTAATGCTCTCCCTTCCTGCACCCCACCCCACTACAGGCCCCAGTGTGTGTTGTTCCCCTCACTGTGTCCATGTGTTCTCATCAATCAGCTCCCACATATAAGTGAGAATATGGAGTGTTTCGTTTTCTGTTCCTGTGTTAGTTTGCTGAGGATAATGGCTTCCAGCTCCATCCATGTCCCTGCAAAGGACATGATCTCATTCCTTTTCATGGCTGCATAGTATTCCATGGTGTATATGTTCCACATTTTCTTTATCCAGTCTATGATTGATGAGCATTTGGGTTGATTCCACATGTATTGGTCCGTTTTCATGCTTCTGATAAAGACATACCCAAGACTGGGCAATTTACAAAGAAAGAAGTTTAATTTGACTTAAAGTTCCATATGGCTGGGGAGTCCTCACAATCATGGCGGAAGGCAAGGAGGAGGAAGTCACATCTTACATGGATGGCGTCAGACAAAAAGAGCATTTGTGCAGGGAAACTGCTTTTTTTTTTTTTTAAACCATCAGATCTCATAAGACTCATTCACTATCATGAGAACAGTGCAGGAAAGACCCACCCCCATGACTCAATCACCTCCCACTGGTTTCTTCCCATGATACGTGAGAATTGTGGGAGGAACAATGTGATTTGTGTGGGGACACAGCCAAACCTCCTAACACTCTACTCCTGGACCCTCCCAAATCTCACGTCCTCACATTTTGAAACCAATCATGCCTTCCCAACAGTCCCCCCAAAGCCTTAACTCATTTCAGCATTAACCTGAGACAAGGCAAGTCCCTTCCACCTATGAGCCTGTAAAATCAAGATCAAGTTAGTTACTTCCTAGATACAATGGGGGTACAGGCATTGGGCAAATACAGCTGCTCCAAATGTGAAAAATTGGCCAAAACAAAGGGGCTACAGGCCTCATGCAAGTCTGAAATTCATCAGGACAGTCAAATCTTAAAGCCTGAGAATAATGTCCTTTGACTCCATGTCTCACATCCAGGTCATGGTGATGCAAGAGGTGGGTTTCCATGGTCTTGAGCAGCTCTGCTCCTTTGGCTCTGCAGGATACAGCCTCCCTCCCAGCTGCTTTCACAGGTTGATGTTGATCAAAGTGTCTGAGGCTTTTCCAGGTGCACAGTGCAAGCTGTCAGTGGATCTACCATTCTGGGGAGTGGAGGACAGTGGCCTTCCTCTCACAGTACCACTAGGCAGTGCCCCAGTAGGGACTCTGTGCAGGGGCTCTGACCCCACATTTCCCTTCTGTACTGCCTTTGCAGTGGTTATTCATGAGGGCCCCACCCCTGCAGCAAACTTCTGCCTGGGCATCCATGTATTTCCATTTATCCTTTGAAATCTATGTGGAGGTTCCCAAACCCCAATTCTTGACTTCTGTGCACTCACAGGCTCAATACCATGTGGAAGTGGCCAAGGTTTGGGCTTGCACCCTCTGAAGTCACAGCCCGAGCTCTATGTTGACCCCTTTCAGCCGCAGCTGGAGTGCCTGGGATTCAGGACACTGAGTCCCTAGGCTGCACATAGCACAGTGACCCTGGGCCCAGCCCACAAAACCATTTTCTTGTAGGCCTCTGGGCCTGTGATAGGAGGGGCTACCATGAAGATCTCTGACATGTCCTGGACACATTTTTCCCATTGTCTTGGGGATTAATGTTTGGCTCCTCATTACTTATGCAAATTTCTATAGCCAGCTTAAATTTCTCCCCAGAAAAAATGGGTTTTGCTTTTCTATCACATTGTCAGCCTACAAATTTTCCAAACTTTTCTGCTCTGCTTCCCATATTCAACTGAATGCCTTAACAGCAACTAAGTCGCCTCTTGAATGCTTTGCTTAGAAATTTCTTCTGCCAGATACCCTAAATCATCTTTCTCAAGTTCAAAGTTCTTCAAATCCATAGGGCAGGGGCAAAATGCTGCCAGTCTCTTTGCTAAAACATAACAAGAGTCATCTTTGCTCCAGTTCCCAACAAGGTGCTCATCTCTATCTGAGACCACCTCAGCCTGGACCTTATTGTCCATATTGCTAACAGGCTTTTGATCAAAGCCATTCAACAAGTCTCTAGGAAGTTCCAAACTTTCTCATATGTTCCTGCATTCTTCTGAGCCCTCCAAACTCTTTCAACCTCTGCCTGTTACCTAGTTCCAAAGTCACTTCCACATTTTCAGGTATCTTTTCATAAACACCCCACTCCTGGTACGAATTTAGTGTATTAGTCCGTTTTCATGCTGCTGATAAAAACATACCCAAACTGGGCAATTTACAAAATAAAGATTTAATTGGACTTACAGTTCCATATGGCTGGGAGGCCTCATAATCAGAGCGGAAGGCAAGGAGAAACAAGTCACATCTTACATAGATGGTGGCAGGCATGAAGAGTTTATGCAAGGAAACTCTTTTGTTTTTTAAGACCATCAAATCTTATGAGACTCATCCACTACCATGAGAACAGTGCAGGAAAGACCTACCTCCCTAATTCAATCACCTCCCACCGGGTTCCCCCTATGATACATGGGAATTCTGGGAGTTACAATTTGGGTGGGGACACAGCCAAACCATATCACTATGTCTTTTGCTATTGTGAATAGTGATGCAGTGAACATATGTATGCATGTATCTTTGTAATAGAATGATTTATATTCCTTTGTGTATATACCCAGTAATGGGATTGCTGGGTCAAATGATATTTCTGGTGGTAGATGTTGAAGAATCCCTACACTGTTTTCACAATGGTTGAACTAATTTACATTCCCACAAACAGTGTAAAAGTGTTTCTCTTCTCTGTAACCTTGCCAGCATCTGTTGTTTGACTTTTTAATTATAGCCATTCTGACTGGCATGAGATGGTATTTCATTGTGGCTTTGATTTGCATTTTCTCTAATGATCAGTGGTGTTGAACTTTTTTTTCATATGTTTGCTGTCTGCATGAATGTCTTCTTTTGAGAAGTGTCTGTTCATGTCCTTTGCCTACTTTTTGATAGGGCTGTTTGCTTTTTTCTTGTAAATTTGTTTAAGCTCCTTGTAGATTTTGGATATTAGACATTTGTTAGATGGATAGGTTGCAAAAATTTTCTCCCACTCTGTAGGTTGCATGTTCACTCTGATTATAGTTTCTTTTGCTGTGCAGAAGCTCTTTAGTTTAATTAGATCCCATTTGTCAATTTTTGTTTTTGTTGCAATTGCTTTTGGTGATTTCATCACGAAGTCTTTGCCAATGACTATGTCCTGAATGGTGTTGCCTAGATTTTCTTCTAGGGTTGTTACAATTTTGGGTTTTACATTTAAGTCTTTAATCCATCTTGAGTTATTTTTCATATAAGGTGTAAGGAAGGGGTCCAGTTTCAATTTTCTGCGTACGGCTAGCCAGTTCTCCCAGCACCATTAGTGAATTATTTTCCTATTGTTTTCATCAGGTTTATTGAAGATCAGATGGTAGTAGATGTACAGTCTTATTTCTGAGCTCTCTATTCTGCTCCATTGGTCTGTGTGTCTGTTTTTGTACCAGTACCATCCATTTTAATTACTGTAGCCTTGTAGCATAGTTTGAAGTCTGGTAGTGTGATGCCTCTAACTTTTTTCCTTTTGATTAGGATTGTCTTGGATATGTGAGCTCTTTTTTGGTTCCATAGGAATTTTAAAATAGTTTCTTCTAATTCTGTGAAGAATGTACATTGTCATATTTAATCCTTACAACATTCCTGTGAGTCTTCTTATTAGCCCCATTTTGCAGATGAAAAAACTGAAGCTCAGAAAAGTAATCTAAAATTTTCCAAAGCTTTTAATGTTAACTTCTACTTTCTTTCTGAGAACTCGTTTAACTAAATGTCAGCTGTACATCTTCACTTGGAAGTTCCAGATACCTTAAATTCAATATGTCCATAATTGAACACAATCTTTCTTTCCATATATATTTCTTATTTGGTACTGTGTAGTTCAACCTGCAGCCATCTTAGGTGCTACATAGACAGAACCTACTTTTCAATAAGACAAGGAAATATTGACCTAATATTAAGCCTAAATATGAGCTGTTTTTCCCGTCTTGTTAAGCTACATTTTATTATTCTTTATCTACTATAAATTAGACTGGGTCCTGCTGTTGTGCACATTTTGTCAGTTCTCACCAAATTCTCAATTTTGTATTTTTCTTCAGTATTTTTCTACAACACTCCAAATTACCATTTCAAATTTGTCTGTTTTTCTCCCACTCTCCTGATTTAGATCTCTGAGAACTAAAACCTGACTGCCCAGAAATTTACTGGGACTCTAAATTGTCTTGTAGTTGACCTTTCTCCCCAAGATCTAAAGAAGCCTTTAAAGGTGAAGCTGAACAGCTTAATATAAGCTTTAAGAGCTCATCACTACAACAGATTGGGCAAATTTCATCTCTGCTATTGTGCAGGCTGCTCAGAAGTTTACCAAACACCTGCATTTTCCATGCTCTTCTCCCAGAAATAACTACTCTGTCACTGATGTCTATGACATGAAAGACATTAAAACTTCCAACCAAGAAATCTCACCGTCCTCACCTGACCACTTAAAGAAGCTTTGGGCCTAAAATCCAGACATCTTCACCAGCTGCTCTTCAGAATCAGAAACTGGGTTGTGGTTGGCTACAATCTTTCATTTTTGTTTTTATTTTGTCATCATAGAAATGTCAGTCATTGAGTACCTGATGGCTCACACCATCCAGCAAATATCCTCTAATACCACGTCTCAACAGATAGTTCAGCTGTTCCTTAATAGATAAGAGAGGACCAAAAGGACCAGGTGCAGGCACTCATACCTGTAATCCCAGCATTTTGGGAGGGGAAGGTGGATGGGCCACCTGAGCCCAGGAGTTTGAGACCAGAGTCGGCAACATGGCAAAACTCCATCTCTACAAAAAATACAAAGATTAGCTGGGCTTAGTGACATGCAGCTATAGTCCCAGATACTTGGGAGGCTAAAGCAGGAGAATTGCTTGAACCCAGGACGCAGAGGTTGCAGTGAGCCAAAATTGTGCCATTGCATTCCAGCCTGGGCAACATAGCCAGACCCTTTCTCAAAAAAAAGAAAAAAGAAAAGAAAGAAAGAAAACTTATAGTATTTAGAGGAAAACTGTCTCTTGAACAAGAATCTTGTGCTTGCTCAAGCATTAGTCAGGCTCCACTGACCCCTCTTTTCAACTAGGCCTTGACCTTGGCCCTGTCCTGTCTTTGGCCTGCCTAACCTAGCCTTAGCAAGAAACCTGCTAAGACAATTTAGTGAGAATCTCCTCACCCTTGATATCTGATGAAGTTGCTCATTCCCCGCCTTTAATTCCCTACTTTTAAGTCCTTGGCTTGCATTCAGCAAGAATCTTGTTAGGTGAGGTTAACAAGAACCTTCTACCCTTAATGTCTCCTAAATATCGTAATATCCTACATATCCCACATAATTGTTTCTCACTGACAAATGGAAACTATTTAATCCTGTTATAATAACAATGTACCACAGGTACGTAAGTTAAGACCGTAAGTTTTGCATACAATTTTTTTTGTTTCAATCCTGGTTTTGCCACTTACTAACTGTAGGACTTTGGGAAATTAAAGAGAAACTCTCATCTTCATTACCCCCATGAGGTTGTTGTAGTGGATGTTAATAGTTAATATGTGTAAAGCATTTATAAAATTGCCTGCACAAAATAAATTTCAACAAGTGTTTGTTATTTTTATTCTTGTCACACCCCTACACAAGTAAGGGTTTCATATCAATGGAACATTTGATAACTGTCTATTTTTTTTTTATTGTTACATAAAATCCTGCTCAGTCTCAGGTTGATTGGGTTAACAATTGGGTTGACCCAATTAGACTGTTAGGATAGAAAATATTTCTTTGGAATAGGCCTCTAGCATGCTATGCTTGGTATAGTACAAGAAAGAAGATTTTTAAATCCTCATGGCAACAAAATAATAGGATTATTACCATAAATACCCCCCAAAACAGCTCAAGATACTTTATCCCACTTCTCATCATCCATGAGCATTGCTGATTCATTCTCTGGTGTTCCAAAAATTATCAATGATGTTTTACACTTCTGAAGGGCCAGTTATTTCAGGAATTGGCTAAGAAAAGTATGCTTATAACCAATTTTTGACTTTATTTAGTATAAACACAATGCTTCTTTTTTCAGTTAGTATTCCCATTAAAAAAACCAGGTTTCAGACAAGAAAGCTTAGTTCAAACCATTATATTAAGGTAACTGTCCTTTAAAACAATTCTAAGTACATTTTAGCTTTTGGTAATGTTGCTTAATTTTCTAACCAGAATTGCAATTTGCAAACTACAAAATCCCTGTCAATCATGGGCGAGAAGAAAATTTGCCACGTAATTACCACTGACCATGAAATAATTTAGTTCTCATAAACAGGCATCTTTTATGTATTTTTCCCCTTGTCATTACACAATCATGTGAATAATAAGTTGTAAAGGACAAGAAGAAAATTCTTTCTACCTACCAAGTTCCCAGACCATTATTTGAAATTCTACAATAGATTGTGTCCATGTTGAGGGAAAGAGGGTGTCAGGAGTTTGTCAAGCTTCTGTGGCCACTGAACCACATAGAAGCATGACATATTCTATTGTTTTGGTGGCCAGAGACCTCTCATGACGCCCAGATGTGTAGGGAGGTATTTGAACCACACTAGGTATTTTTTTGAGCAAATAACAAAGCCCTGTTTTCCAAGGGAGCTGTTTCTGCTTTCTTATGAGGTCTGACAAACAGAATATATTTGTTTCATTTTTAAAAAATTGTAGGTAACCAATACCACAAGTTTGTATGAGGAGCATTAAGCTGTCTCTGACTCATTTTGATATACAGATGCATGTTTACTCCTCTATTGAAGCACTGCTTAACTCAGGCCTTATTTCAGAATTACTTGTCTTCGCTCTTTTCCAACCTCAAACTAATCTCTTAAAAGATAAAAATCACCTTCCTTTTCTCTTTGCATCTCTCACACTATCAAAGCCTGATTCTTTGTGACCATAGGCAGTAAATAAATACTCTTTTTTTATTTAGTTGATTATTGTTCATCTCTAAAACCAGAAGTTGTGTGTGTTTACTTAGGGGAAAATGGGCTTTAATGACTTATTTTTTGATTAAAAAAATTAGCTATTTTGCCATCCTAATTGCCATGGACCTGAGAATAGAGTTTCACAGAGATGACTTTAACATAAAGACAAGAACTAATTGTTTCCTCATTCCCAAATGCCAACATTTTGCAAATTATGTCACAAAACTCACCATAGAAACATGTTTTTTTTCCAAAGGTAATTCAGAGGAGGAAGAATACTGTTCAGTTTCTATAATGAAAGTGGGTAGAATTTGTCCTTAAAAGTCATGATGGAATTGTTTTTAAGGTTTGTGTGACTGTAATTACCCTGGGGCTGAATGTAGTAAATGCAGTCTATAAAACAAAAAAAGTCAATAAAATTAGCTTCACTCCTTAAATGGTTATGCCCTCTGACTACGGGATGGGGAAGAAGGCATTATTTTTAAAAATCACATTCCTCTTGAATTGTTGAATAGAATAGCCCATTGGAAGGCCTTCTGCTAAAAAGAAATATGTACACCTTCTAATGACTTCCTATTTAAAGAAAATAAAATTATTAAAAATAAATAGTTCAGTGGATTTGTAAATGCTATTCGGACAAGTAGAATCGGTATGTCTATTTTCTAAAGTGTTTTCTATGATGTTTAAGAGTTACCCTATATTCAAATGATTTCTTTTGGTTAAGACTTTATGTAGGCTGGGCGCGGTGGCTCACACCTGTAATCCCAGCACTTTGGGAGGCCGAGGTGGGCGGATCACGAGGTCAAGAGATCAAGACCATCCTGGCCAACATGGTGAAACTCCATCTCTACTAAAAATACAAAAATTAGCTGGGTGTGGTAGTGGGCACCTGTAGTCCCAGCTACTTAGGAAGCTGAGGCAGGAGAATTGCTTGAACCCAGGAGGCGGAGGTTGCAGTGAGCCCAGATCGCGCCACTGGACTCCAGCCTGGTGACAAAGCAAGACTCTGTCTAAAAAAAAACAAAAACAAAACAAAAACAAAACAAAAAAAACCTTTATTCAATTACATTTGTATTATATTTGTACCACAAACTATCAATAATAAACATGCTCTTTGTGCTACAGTCGCACAATGCGATAGAAACCATAGACTCTTCAGAGCTAGCCAAAGAGCCTACCAGTTATCAATCTCTGCCTTATAGGAGATCATCTTCATGAGTCTGAGCCACCCTGACCTATTCAAAATTGGGCTGATTTGGGGGTATGCTATTGTAGCATACAAATGCACTAAGTCACAGATACTCAAGGAAACAAGGAGGCCTTTTTCCTCTTAAACACAGAGATGAGCAACTACAGTCTGTAATACCAGCCATGGATGAGGGTGAACCAGCCTTACCACACTAAAAGATCTTGGAACTATCAGCACATGTTAGTAAGAGGGCAAAATTATTGGTGCAGAAATGATGAAGGAAATAGAGTATTGTTTCCATTGCAACTAATAAGGTGGTATTTTTCTTCATTAAAAAGCCTTGACTTCCTTAGCAATGAACTTGTCTCTTAAGCTAACCCTCACCAAGTCATTAGTATACAAATTAAAAATATGTCTTGGCAGTAATAATGATTCTAAACTCTATTGTCCAAGGAAACTTAGCCAAAACCCATTGTCCTCCAATCCTCCCACTTCTATAGTACCAAGTATCCAGATTTTCTCTGTTCTATTGGTTCATCATTTTGTAAATACTGAGCACCAGCTCTTGAGCAGGCACTATGTGTGACACAGGGAATAAAATGATCATTACTCTCTTGTTGCTCAGAATCTTATAGTACACACACCTAAGAAAAATAATTTTAATGGTAGAGTATTGTTATACGAGTCACACAGCAGGGGGTGGTTGATTCTTGGTTGGAAATCCAAGGAAAACAACAGCAGGAAGGTACTAGGGCATTACAAAAAAGTAAAAAAAAGGAGGAAAGGATGGTTCATGCAGTTCGATAGTTTAACCCCAGATTAGAACTATCCACAACTCCCTATTGCTCTTAAAATAAACTTTAAAGTCCTTATTGACAAGGTCTTTATGGTCTACATGAGTTGACTTCTGATTAACTGTCCAGCATTATCATTGGATTTTGTCCAGTAGATTTTCAGAATGTGCATTTTTAAAGTATGTACTATATTTCTACCAAATAAAGTTCCTCCTAGGATATATATATATACATATCCCATCCCACATACTAAATATTTTGTTTGCTTGTTTGTTTTGAGATGGAGTCTCACTCTGTCGCCCAGGCTAGAGTGCAGTGGCACCATCTTGGCTTACTGCAATCTCTGCCTCCTGGGTTCAAGAAATTCTCCTATCTCAGCCTCCCAAGCAGCTGGGATTACAGGTACCCAGCTAATTTTTGTATTTTTAGTAGAGATGGGGTTTCATCATATTGGCCAGGCTGGTCTCAAACTCCTGACCTCAGGTGATCCTCCTGCCTCGGCCTCCCAAAGTGCTAGGATTATTGGCATGAGCCCCCATGCCTGGCCCATACTATATGTTTGTATGAAAGCTAGGATATATGTATGTGTGTGTGTGTGTGTGTGTGTGTGTGTATACACACACCCTAGGAACCTGTTGCCATATATATAATATATGTGTGTGTGTGTGTGTATATATATATATTATATATATATCTTAGTTATTGAGGAATTCCTCAGCTACAAGGAGATCTATTCATAGGGCTAGTTTCCAGTAACAGTTGATTAGCAGAAGTATCATCCTCCCTCAATGCAAATAGCACCAGTTGTGTAAAGCGGAATAAAAAGAGCCAAAAAAAAAAAAAAAAAGAGCCACAAGACAAATTAAGACCAAAATATGGCTTTTAGAATTCTGAGTACACAGTGTACTCAGAATTCAATGACAAATAGCAAATAAAATTAAGATCTGATGGAATAGGAGAGAATTATGGCACGTAGTAAGAATGATGAAATAAAGAAGGTTTGGTAACAGAATAATGAAGTAGGAGTTAGTCTGGGGTGGGTTTAGGGCTTACTGAACAAGTGATAGTTAAGTATAGATCTAAAGTTTAGAAGGAACGCGCCTTGTCAAAAGCCTGGATAAAATGCATAGGTCAAGTATTAGTGATATGGACAGGAGGCAGGAGGGCGGAGTCCCCGGAGAGGGCTCTACCTTCAAGCCTGGGCCCGCAGCCCTAAATGAGAACAGCCATTCCTGTTTTCATGCCTGAATATTGCCCTTTCCAAGACCACTTTGGCCCACCCCGCCCCCTATCCTGTGCCCATAAGAACCCCAAACCCCAGGCTCCATGAGCAGGGGAATGGCAGAGTGGCAGAGCAACAGGGCAGAGAAGGAGAGAAGAGACAAGCAGTCGAATGTTAAGAGGAGAAGAGGCAACTCAGTGTGGGAGATTACATATAGATGCGGCTTCACCGAGGAGGAGCGGTTGCGCTTCAGGGAATGATCACCCTTTTCCCACTCCATCCCCTTTCCAGCTCACCATCCAACCCACTGAGAGCCACCTCCGTCACTCAGTAAAACCTCTGCATTCACCGCCCTTCAAGTGCATGAGACCTGATTCTTCCTGGACACCGGACAAGGACCCGGGTACCAAGAGAGCAGGGTGTAACAGACTTGTCACCTTGACTCTCCACTGAACTGGTGGAGAGTCACATAGCCACCTGCAGATGGCAACTGCTGAAAGAGCATTAATTGTAACACACCTGTAGACACTACCGTGGGGCTGGAGCCCAAAGCTCACCCCAGCCACGGCACCTGCTTGCCTGGGTGCTCCCCCTCCCATAAGGCATTTGGGCGCAGTGGTTGAGTAAGCAAGCCACAACCCTGATGCAAGTCCGGTGAAGGGGTCCAGGGAACTCTTCTGTCTCATTAGAGTTCTCCAGAGGGACAGAACTAATAGGATATATGTATCTATGAAAGGGAGTTTATTAAGGAGAATTGACTCACATGATCACAAGGTGAAGTCCCACGATAGGCGTCTGCAAATTTAGGAGCAAGGAAGCCAGTAGTGCCTCAATCCGAGTCCTAAAACCTCAAAAGTAGAGAAGCTGACAGTGCAGCCTGCAGTCTGTGGCCAAAGGCCTTAAGAGCCCCTGGCAAACTACTGGTGTAAGTCAAAAGTCCAAAAGCCGAAAAACCTGGAGTCTCTTGTTCGAAGGCAGGAAGCATCCAGCATGGGAGAAATATGAAGGCTGGTAAACACACCAAGTTAGCTTCTTCTACCTTCTGCCTTTTTCTAGCCACTGTGGCAGCCAATTGGATGGTGTCCACCCACATTGTGGGTGGGTCTTCCGGAGGGTAGCACTTCCTCTTCCAGTCCACTGACTCAAATGTTAATCTCTGCTGGCAACACCCGGAAACAGCCAGGTACAATCCCAACAAGTTGACGCTTAATATTAACCATCACAGATCATGAAATGGAAAGTAGAATAATATCATGTCAGGAGGGATGGAGGGGCTTGATGATCCAAGACTCTGCAGGCCCCTTTAAGGGTCTGGATTTTTATTCAAGGCACATATAAAATTCATTGAGCTCTCTTTTCACCTCAAGCTTTTGCACATGTGGTCCCTTTTGCCTGATTAACGCTCCTTCTACCTTTTGCACCTGGCTAATTGTTAATCATATCAGAAAAAAAGTCTGAATTCACTTTTGCATCCTCAAGGATGGCTTCTATCAGGTGTTTGATGATTGAAGAAAGGAATGGAAATATAGAGACAATTTTTTTTTGCTTAATAAGACCTTGATACATTGTGAAATAATCTCTCCTCCATTTCAATGACAAATAGCAAATAAAATTAAGATCTGATAGAATAGGAGAGAATTAATCTTTAAGTTTGAGGAAAGGATCTACTTGCCTCCACTGAAGAATATGTACAAAGTATTCTATGTAATTCTTTATACTGTGTACTCAGAATTCTAAAAGCCATATTTTGGTCTTAATTTATCTCGTGGCTCTGTATTTTTTTTTTTTTTTTTTTGGGGGGGGGTGCTCTTTTTATTCCTCTTTACACAACTGGTGCTATTTGCATTGAGGGAGGATACCTCTGCTAATCAATTGTTACTGGAAACCAGCCCTGTGAGTAGATCTCCTTGCAGCTGAGAAATTACACAATAACTAAGATATATATAAACACACACACACACACACACACATATCCCAGCTCTCATACAAATATATAATATAGACCAGGCACGGGGGCTCACTCCAATAATCCCAGCACTTTGGGAGGCTGAGGCAGGAGGATCACCTGAGGTCAGGAGTTTGAGACCAGCCTGGTCAATATGATGAAACCCCATCTCTACTAAAAGTACAAAAATTAGCTGGGTACCTGTAATCCCAGTTGCTTGGGAAGCTGAGACAGGAGAATTTATTGAACCCAGGAGGCGGAGGTTGCAGTAAGCCAAGATGGTGCCACTGCACTCTACCCTGGGCGACAGAGTGAGACCATCTCAAAACAAACAAGCAAACAAAAAAATGTATACTATGAGGGATGGGGTATGTATATATATCCTAGGAGGAATTTCATGTGGATATAAACAGTGTTTATACAGATACACACGAAAGCAGGTGTGAAAGAAATTAGTACACATGTGTATAGCCACATACAGAAAAATGCCTATATTCATAATGTTAAAAAATGAACAGTTTTGTATTAGGTCACCAAGGATATTGAAGAATAAAGAACACCAAGGATGATGCAAGTACAGAGAACACTCAGACTCTCTCTCCTTTGGGAAGACAACTGTCTTTTAACAGAGCTATTGATATATGGTGTGTAGCTTACAGGAGGCATGTTGCTAGAACTTTCTAACGACTCTGCCATGGTACTTTCTCACAAGGGGAATGTGGCTATCACTGCTGTTGTGGTCAAGGATATGCTTAACACATCCCACGAGGAATTTCTCAGCTGCAAGGGGATCTATTCACAGGGCTAGTTTCCAGTAACAATTGGTTAGCAGAAGCATCATCCTCTCTCAGTGCAAATAGCTCCAGTTGTGTAAAGGAAAGAAAAAAAGAGCCAGTTGCTGTGAGTAATGACTAATTAGGAAAATTTTGACAAGGGTGTAATTTTAGTTGGTGATTCGCAGCACTGAGATAATTTCATGCTTTGTGAAAATCATTTGGTGAAAAGTTAATTTGAACCTAAACTTTATTTTTGTAGGAATCCAGTCAAATTGATTTGACATTGGCTAATAGTTTTATAACAAGCAATCAGGATGAAAGGACTTCAGGAAAAAAATTTAAAAGCCTCTCTTTTTTGCCATGTGATATCTAAGTAGCATCAGAGAGACTCCAGCAGCTATCAATATACACCGAAAATGTGTAATTCAGTTTTGGCTAGGTGGGAATGGGAGAGAGAAGTCTATATATTTATTTAACCTATAATTTAGGTAACTGATGATCTACTCACTGTTCCAAATGCAAAATACTGGCAAATATTTATTTGGCTCAATTTATCTATTTTACAAATATGTAAACATTTCAGTATGCCATATTCAATACAGTCTTTGAAATTCTTAAGTATGAGATGGATGGACCCTTATAGAATTTGGCATCCAAAAGTAACACCAAAGCCTATCAAAGTTATCCATTTCTTCAGATTTCTGAAGGGAATCATAATTTTTAAAATGCGTCTGGCTAATGTAATTATTATTTCCTTTGTAGGAACTATTTCTCAGTGGTAAATATATCTTTCTAAATCCTTTAATGCTACGAGGATTTTTATGAATATTTAAAAAATTCACAATCCCACAATGTAATTCATTTTCT
Source organism: Homo sapiens (assembly GCF_000001405.40). Taxonomy (NCBI): domain Eukaryota; kingdom Metazoa; phylum Chordata; class Mammalia; order Primates; family Hominidae; genus Homo; species Homo sapiens. Next base: position 106,339,585 of record NC_000010.11, read on the forward strand.
ATGCTGTAAAATATCCAGAAAGAAGTGTTCTAATCAACAGTCTAAATGAATATTATAGGGTTAGTTTATGTACCAATAGAGCAGAGATTGACAAACTTTTTCTGTAAAAAGCTAGATAATAAATATTTTAGACTTGTGAGCCATATATTCTCTATCACAGCTACTCAACATTGCTATTGTAATTAAACAGCAGTTATAGATAATATGTAAAGGGAGTATATCTGTGCTCTAATTAACCCTTTTTTAAAAGAGCAAGCCATGAGCTAAATTTGGAGCATAGTCTATAATTTTTCAATCTCTACTATAGAGGAATAAGAAACAGTTGATACTGAATATGCATTTTGGAGATAATTCTTTTATCATTGTGTTGAAACCATCAGCTTTTATATAAGCTACATTAAGCTCCAAAAATAACTAAATAATTGTATCTGTATTTAAATATATGTGTATATATAATTATTTAATTATTCATGGCCCTTTATGAAGCTTGAATTACATATATAACTGAATTATTATATAATTTTATAATATTTATCTATAAATATATATTATTTTCTATACAACTGTAGAAATTGAATATATAGTTAACTATATGTGCATTTCTGTATATACACACACATAGACATATATACACACACATATACATACATATATAGACACATATAGTTAATTATATCATGATTATGATAAAATATATAATTGAACATCATGGACCATCCTTTCCTCTATTTTTATACTTTATACACACACACACACACACACACACACACACACACACACAAAAAGTAGGGGTGAAATAAATTAGTACTACTTTGTAGCTGCTTCTATTAACTCAGTAAAATATTGCTTTAAAATTATTGTAGATTTGAGAAAATTAATAATTCAGATTGTTCCTTATGCACAATGGCCTGAATGGATAGCCAGATCCCATGCATTCTACTTCCTTGTCTCTCAAATCTGTTTACCTCTCTATATTCCCACAACTGGCCAAGTCATCAGTATCATCTCCTTTCTTGACCACAGCAACAGTTTCTTAACTTATATTCTAAAGCCAATTCTCCATCATGTCTTGCAAGCACTTCTGCAAATCTCCATTCTGTTGCCAAAAGATCAGTGATAAAGGAAACTCTAATCATGTCTCTTTTTCCCTCGTTTGAGGCTTCCAAAGCTTCTGACTATGTTTAAGGTAAAGTCTAAAGTTTATGTGGCCTACAAAGTCTTGACTTGCTCTTGCCTACACACTTAGGCACCACTATCCTTTCTTTCAATTTATTGGGAATTTGGGGAGTTTTGTTTGTTTTGCTTATAGACATTTGCACATACCATTCACTAGAATTCTTTGATTAATAATTGTCTCCCTAGCAAGTTTCATGAGGGTAGGTAATATACATTTCAGCATCTAACCTAGTGTTAACATATAGTAGATGATTGATATAGTAAGTGCTCAATAAGCACATGGAAAGCATGAATGAATGAATGAACAAATGAATGATATCTTAGAAACTATATTTAGACAATAATTGAAAATGATATGCTTTCATGCTGAAAATTGGGCAAAACAATTCATAATACTCTTAACAATAATTAACTGTATGTATTTCCTTTTTTCCTAGCCTATAACTTTTTCTGTAAAATCTTTCAAGAGCCTCTCTCCTTCCCCTTGCCCATGTAGCATTTCAGTCAGCTTTCATTAAATACAACTGATCAGGTATTATGTTTTTTCAGATCAGTAACACTAATTATCAAGTAAGAACTTTCATTCCCCTTAAAGCATTCCTAATCTGAGACCCTAGGAGGGACTTCAGAGTGATGGAGCACTGGCAATGTTCCCAGGTCTTGGATCCAACCTGCTGACAGTTTCTGGTTATAAACTATTCAGAGGAGCAAAGCTGTTAGATCAATTTGTCTTGTAGAAGTTCTAAGACAGCTTGCTCACGCACACTTTCTTTCTGATATGTTCAGCAGTCTACAGCTCTTTTGCTGAGCTGTCAGAAGACGTGACTTTCCAGCTGTTAAAACAGCTGTCATCTTCATCCTTAAGGGAGCACAGCAATTGCTAAAGTTTTGGGGATTTTTTTTTCTTCTGGTTAGAATTTGCAAAATGCTTGAAACTTTGTCCTGTGAGAGCTGATCTTCATCATTCGATGCTGCTACAAAACCTTCTGTATATCCGTGAGTTGTGCAGGTGGAGGAGGAATTGTGGAGCAAGGGTAGAAAGTCATAAATGGACTCAGGATACAATTTGTAGAGAGAATGTTATTTCTAGATTTGGTGGGCTAAACGGTATCTTTGTTCCAAAATTCAGTTAATTGGCTCAATATTTAAAGAAGCCTTGCTAGAAAGAAATATGAAAGTACCGGAAAGATACTGATATGTGTTAGTCCAAACTGCACCATTTTGTAAGCTCCCTGCTATTTTGCAGACCTTAGTCAAAGTTAAACATTTCACAGGGGTTCGGGCCATGAGAAATCTCCTGCCTAACCACCTGAACACAAGGCAGACAAAGGCCCAACGAAAGAAACATCCCTATCGGATCTTGCTGGACAAAGATCCAAGGAACACCATGATGACATCCCACCGGAACAAGGCCCAGAACCACTTCATCATGGAACATCTTATTAGTATCCTGCTGGGCAGCAAGCCATACTGCCAAGACCCCTCCCGCCCATACCTATAAGTACCCCCAGCCTGTAAGCAGCGGTGGGCTCTGGCATTAGGCTTGTCCCCCACTTCTGCAGGTTTTATCCTGGGCAGAAAGCCTGCATTTGCTGTTGAGCCACCCTCTTTCTCTCTCTCTGTTTGTGTGTGTGTGTGTGTGTGTGTCTTTCTTTAACCCTTGCCTTCCCTTTCAAACCTAACAATATGTATCAGGAGCTAAATGTTTTCCCGAATCCCTATTGAATGTCTGAATACACGCAATCATATAAATTCAATATTCTTGATTAGAAACTTAAGTTCTTGGTAAGTTTTCATGATTTTTATGTTACATTTGTGATTGTAATAGAGAGGAAAATTGATGTAAATAGATCATATGTATATAATACCACGCATTTCCAAATCTTTTTGGAGAAAATAGAAATCATTTAATCAAAATACATCATTTTGCAGATGAGAAAACTTAAATCAAAACAACAAAGTTTAAATAACTTACCCAATATCCCAGAAATAGTGAGTTTGAGCCAGCATTCAGATATCCTGACTTGTTTTCAAAAGTACTTTCTATTACATCACACAAAATTGTATTGCTAAAAAAGTCAATTTTATCTGTCATTCTACAAATAAACTTTTTAGTTTAATTAAGATGTATGATTTCATTTTTTAACCATGCTTTAAAATTCACAACTCTAAATTTTATACAAATGAGACCTTTTCCCTCTTGTCTTAAGAAGAGGAATAAGAGTCACACATCAACTTATACTAATTAGGTGCATTTGATATCCAAAGCAATAGAAGCTTTCAAGAAATAAAAAAAAAAAAGAAAAGAAAAAGGTTATGCATATTTAATGAACTCTCACATTCTTTTCAGAAGAAATAATTTTTGTGTGGTAAATTCAAGTGAACACATTGCAAAATAAAGACCCTGCTTCCACTAGATTTTTGTCTTCAGATGTAGTTTTAGTCACCCCCTCCATTCTGCTCTCCCCAAATCAGAACAGCTTACTTGCAGTAAACTCAAGTATCTCCTAAAGCCCCAATTCTTTAATTACTAGTATAAAGCAAGCATACATTTCTCCCTTAGGTTTTTTTCTGTGAAGATATAAGGACATAAACATATGTCAGTAAGTTTCATCTACATAAAAAAGAAAGGTTTCCATATAAAAAGTGACTGATATAATTAGCTGATGTGATAATAACTATTAGCTACTGTGATAATAATAACACTTGTACTACTGGTAATCGTATCTACAATTTTTCCCTTTTTGCCCTAATCAGAAAGAAGCTTTGATGTGCCTATTTGTTATGTGGTTCCTGTCCATTAAGACAGATAAAGAGGTTTATTGATCTAAAGGATACTTTGTCACACAATCATACAGTTGTCTACTGATTCACATCCTGAGCCAAAATAAGTTATCTACAGACAGGACTCTAGCTTTGTGATCTCCTGGGATAAGAAGTCAGCCCCGGCCGGACGCAGTGGCTTACGCCTATAATCCCAGCACTTTGGGAGGCCGAGGTTGGGTGGATCACCAGGTCAGGAGGTCAAGACCAGCCTGGCCAACATGGGGAAACCTTGTCTCTACTAAGAATACAAAAATTAGCCGGGCGTAGTGGCAGGAGCCCGTAATCCCAGCTACTCAGGAGGCTGAGGCAGGAGAATCGCTTGAACCCGGGAGGTGGAAGTTGCAGTGAGCTGAGATAATGCCATTGCACTCCAGCCTGGGCAATAGAGTGAGACTCTGTCTCAACACACACACACACACACACACACACACACCACACACACACACACACAAAAAAAAAAACCTCAGCCCCAAAGGACATTCAATATTACATACTGAGACATTAACCAAGCCCATCAGAAGCTCTGTCTTAGGGTATTTGAAGGCAAGGTTACATAAATGCAAAAAAGTGCATGACACAGTAGCTGGTATAAGGTGTGTACTAATAAGTGAAACGAATATTAGAAATTGCTATAGAAGTAGACTGGGAAGTGCAGGATAGTCTGTATAAATAAAAAATCACCAAAGGGTTGCTGACATGGCTTCCTGAGCATCCTGACCTCCTCTTGTATCCTCAGAATTGATCCCATCCCCTTAGTCAATCTCTGTTCTCACCACCTGAAATAGCCTAACTCTATCAAAGTGGCTACCACACATTAGGCACTTTGTATATTTTGTCATATGTAATGGAAGCCATTTAATATGTTTGGGCAGAGGGAATAGTGTCACACCGTCAGCATTTTGTCACCTAACCTTGCTTAGTGAACATGTTAATCACTTTGATGTAACAGAGGCAAATAAATTTCTCTTCATAAATTTCTAGTATTCAGAGGTATGCCTTAATTTAAGGAGGCAATTCAACCTCATGTGCCACACTTCCAACATGTCTGAATCACCAAGGGATACTTTGAGATGAATGAAAGACTTAAGAAAAACTTACGAACACTCAAAACCTAGGAATTAAGTATTGATGGGTCTTTTAAGGATGGACATAGAAATGATAACTGCATTGTTTTTCTTTTAGTATTTGTGAACAAAGCTGAAAGGAATAATTAGATATGGTCAATACATCAATATATGCCAATACTTTATGTAATTGAGAAGAAAAGAACAATGCCACTTGGAGGAAAAACTGTAGTATAAAATGTATCCAAACTATAGAATGTTGAAATGGTATCAGTGAAGCCTGCCACATTATCAGGAAGTAGCTCTTACTTCCTGAAAATAGTTACAAAAGTATACCTCCTTGCTTTTTGTTTTGAAAAAGCAAGAGTTGAACTAGAAGAGATCCAGGAAAATAAAACCATCCATAAATATGTATACGACACTTAAAATGAAGAGGTTTCAAATAGAAATTGTAAGAGAGAAAAGAGCTAGTTCAGACTTAAGTATTTAAACTTGGGAAAGGCATATAGCAAAATGGTCTCTGTGTGTGTTTACTCCCCCTCTTTGTTTCTCTCTGCATGATCCTAGAAAACTTGAACGGAACATTACTTTTTAAACTGAAAGACCTAACATTCAGGGAAGTTAAAACAAAAAGTTTCTGTAAGCAATGTACATTTCCAAGTTGGTATTGGTAGGTGACCTTGGGCCATGGTAGATAGCCAGTGAGTATTTACTGATTTGTAACACTTAATTTTAGAGCCTAAAGGATCTTTAGATAACTATCATTTATTGAGTACATATCATGAGCCAGGCATTTTGTTTAGATTATCTCAATTTATCCTCACATCAATCCCTGAGGAGGGACTCTTCTTATCACTATTTTAAAGTTAGGGTAAATGAGGGTTGGAGAGGCCAAGTGACTTACCCAAGGTAAGAAGAGCTACCCACAGATGCTGAAGTTGAACTTCACATTCAGGGGTGAAAGCCTGTATTTTAGCCTTTGCCTTTGAGTGTCACTTATTCTAACCCCCATTCTTTCAACAAGAAAAATAAAAGAAAAGGAAAAATAGAAACAGATTTTTCAGAGATTAAATATCTAGACTAAGGTCACATGACAAGTTTACCACATGGTTGGACTTGGAAATGGTCTCAGTGCTATCGGTTCAGAGCACTGACCTTCCTCCCATTCTATGTTCTGGTTTGCTTTTCTGTTTATAGGGCACTGATCTAAAAGCCATGTGGGATAAGTCTTCAGCCTGCTAGGTGATTTTCGGCAAGGTATTTTCACTTTTCTGGCTTCTATTTTCTTCAGATTTAACATTTGAACCTTAGGCTATCAACCAAGATTCTTTCCAATTCTAAAATGTGACAATTCTATCTTTCTGTGACCTGTGACTCTACTGTCAAGCTGTATGGCAAATACCGCAGCTATGATCCCAACTTTTGATCAAGCCAATCAGTATAGTATAATTTTCAGAACTGGAATCATGGCCTTAGGAGTCAGAAAACCTAGATTCAAATCTCAGCACTATTTCCTAGTGGTGAGACTTTGGGAAATGTATCTAGTAGTTCTCGATCTCAGATCTCTCATCTGCAAAATGAAATTAAATATTGCCCCTACTTTAGAAGGTGGTAAGAATTAAGTGTCATGTCTTACATAAAATCTGAAGAACTGGCAGGGTTGAGCACTCAGTAAGTGTTAGATAATGATGATGGTGATGAGTAGGATGGAGATGGTATGATAATGGTGATATTAGGAGATGTCCTATGAGTACAAGACTTATAAATTGGCTCTCTGCTGTTAAATGCAGTATAAATTTGTTCCTAATAATAATCTTTGATAATGATGTACAATAGAGACTAAAATAGAAAAACACAGATGAAGATGAATTATTGCATTTATACTAAAGGCTGATAGAGTCAGAACTTACACAACTAAAAACTAGTCCCTTTCTCTCTCATTCCCCACTCCCTTCCTTTCCAACCCTCCCCACCTTCTCTCTTTCCTTTTCTACCTTTTCTCTTCTTCTTCCTCTCCCCTAATAAATCTGATTTAAATAGATGATTTCCCTAGCAAGACAATGACAGTGGTTTTATAAGCATATACAATTGTATAAAGGATATGATGCCAATTTCGTAGAAAATATAAATTAATATATTTAAATTATGTACTTATACATGAACATATACATATAAGTATACAGGTATGTTTTGTATGAAAATTTCCCTACATGTAATATATCTGGATTGTGTGAAATTCTTTGTGATTTTTACTTCTTTCTTTATACATTTCTGCCTTTCATAAATAAGTATATTACTTGTAGTATAAGAGGGGAAGACTTTTTAGGTCAAAATCATAGCAAAAATGTTATAAGTAAACATAGTCCATCAGAATCTTATCAATGCTTATTTCTAGGTAGTAGGATTAAAGGTAGTATCAGTTTAACTCTTTATTAGCTACTGTCTTCCCATTTTCCTAATTAAGTATGCACTAATTTTATAATGTGTTTAAGGATTATTTAAAACTATGTATCAATACTCTAAAACTATCGTAGAGAGATTTATGCCTACTGTTTAACCATTTGACTTATGGACTTAAACAGCTCTGCCTGTGAGACAGCTATAACCTCACACTTCAGAAAGTCATAATTCTTTTCACATTGAGCAAGTCCTTTAATTTATACCTCACTTTCCTCTTCTAGATAATGAAAGATAAGTATTTCCCTTGCAGAGTTATCATGAAGATTAAACGGGAAAATGTACATGGAGTGTCTATAACAATGCTTGGCACTTAATCGACCCCAAACTACCATCACCCCCCACCAATCCAACATTGTCTTTTATTTCTTCTAATGTCTGCAGGGTAAAGAAGATGGAGGCCTCTTGGCCAACAAATTGCTTCTTAATTCTACCTTCCCTTGAGTTCCTAGTATATCTCTGCAGTCCCATCCCACTGTAATCTGTTAAGAGTTCTGCAAAAGATCATAACCATTAGGATGGCAGCACATAATCAAAAATTACTGCCTAATTTAACAAACCCTGTATGAACGTCCAAAGGAGCAAATAGCAAGTTGAATTATGACCCTGAAGCAAAGAACTGTTTACCACAGTGCTTGTTCATTAGCTAAAATGCAAGACAATTTGTCTACTCAGAGTAGTCTCAATGCGCAGTTGTTATCATCAGTACTGGTGCCCTTCTGAAATGATGTGGCTTTGAATGGAATTGCTTTGGATAAAAAAATGTCACTTCAATTCACTGTGCATTTGAATTTCATGCTGCTCACCCACAGTATCTGCCACACAAACTCTACAACACTGTGTTTATTGACAAGCCAAAAGAGCAGGATAAACTTCAAGGAGACATTTAGATCTGAATCCTCAATGAGAGAAAGTCCTGAGATTTGGTGATCATTTATGGTCTTATGGTGTATGCCAGTGTCTGTCAGATCTGAGAAGATGAAAGATGATGGATCACTAACTCCTAGCCAAAAAGGGTGGTGTTACTAAATAAGTAACTACAGCAACTATTGTGTTAGGTCAAAGGCAAAGCACACATTTTCCCCATGGATGTTTATCATGAGCTGTATCAGAGGGTCTGGCACATTGTAGGCATTTTATAAATGTTTATTCCAATAAATTGGTAAAAAAATAATAATAATTTATATTAACTTTTTATCTGGATTCTAGTTTCCTATTATATACATATCTTTTAGGAATCAGTCTGCTTTATTGAATGTCTGAGCTTGATCTTTTAAAATTCATACCTTCTATTTTTGTGGTAGTGAGACTGGATACGTGGGTACTATAGAGAAACAGTAAAAGGAATTTAGAACCTAGTCACAATGAATAAAAGTAGAATTAAATTAAATTATCATTTTCAGGAAATGTGTATGAATAGCTATAATTTACTGCTTATGATAGATCAGGCATTGTAGTATTTTATTTACAATTTTGTTTGGTCTTCCCAACACAGTTGTATCACATTGATTAATATTGTTTCTCTTTTGTAGATGGCAGAACAGTTTTATTATTGCTGTTGCTAAGCAAACTATCCCCAAAATGTAGTAGTTTAAAACTACAAACATTTTATTATTTATTTCATATTTTATTATTTCCGGGGATGGCTTTTCTTGGTTCTCCAAAGTCTGGAATCAAGTCTGGGAAGGCTTGAAGGCTCGGGTCACTCAAGGATTGAAGGAAGGAATCACCTGCGATCTCCTTTGCTCTCACATTGGGCATCAAGGCAGAAAAGACTTGAAAACCAAGACTGCTGAGTGGCTTGCCTTCCTTGCAGCGTGTCCACACCTCAGTCTTGTCAGACTTCTGACCTGGTGGCTCAGAGACCCAGGTGCAAGTATTCCAGAGACTAAGGCAGAAACTGCATCATCTTCTATGACCATACCTACTTCTGCCACACCCTATTTTTTTCCAGCTTTACTGAAGAATAATTGACAAATAAAAACTGTATATATTCAAGGTACAAGACCTGATGATGTCATAGATGTGTACATGTAATGGTTACCACAATCAAATTAATCAACATCAGCCATAAAAAGGGAGGAAAACTTGCCATTTGTGACAACATGGATGAGCTTGGAGGATGCTATGCTAAGTGAAATCTGTCATACTCTATTGATTGAAGAGTCACAAGCCACCCAGATTCAAAGGGAAGGTACATAGTCCCCACCACTTGATGGGAGGAGGATCAACAAATTTGGGGTAGATGAGACTTAAGGAAATTAAGAAACCTGATGAACTTTCAGCCCTGCAATTGGGACCCAGATCGTTTCAATCTAAATAATAGACCATTAAGTCTTCAACTCAAATGGCAAACTGAGGTTTTCATGGGGGAAGGGGGAATATTTTGGAATCTGTTTCAACAGCAAACAGAAAATTTGGGGGGAAACATTGTCATTACCAACTTAATTCATATTTTAAGGAGGTTCAGTTTGTAGGGTGAAATACTTTCCCATAACCATTTTCTCACTATGTTCATCTTCAACAAATCCTTTTTTTTAAAAAAAGCAATAATGGTATATTGCAGTCCAGTCTCCCTGGATTGTAGAAAATTTCAAGTTAATGAAGTATCAACTAATCAAGTTGAATGCAGCAATAATTGTGCAGTTCCAGTGAGAGAAAGAAGAATGGTTATTTAGGATCTATTTTGCTTTAGAAGAGTCTGTGGCTTTTAAGGAACTTGCTAATTGTTTGTGCAAGTTCCTTAAAAATCCCTTAACCCAGTGTTTGTCAAGAACACAAATGTGTCATATTTTGGAAGTCTTTCCTTTATAAATTGAATAATAGACTCCAGCTCTAATAAACATTGGAATGTACTCTTACACTGTGGATTGTTTTAACTGACTTAAGAGATCATCCAGTCCAGTAGTTATCAAACTCTGAGGGACAGAGGGAAAAATTTTTGTCTTTGCAAGCCATTCAGTCTCTGTTGCAACTACCTAACTGCTATGGTAGCCCAAAAATGGCCATGGGCAATGCATAAACAAATAGACATGACTACATTTAACAAAAATTTATTTATAAAGACTGACAACGGGTCAGATTTGGCCCTTAGGCTGTAGTTTTCTGATCCCTGTCCAAACCTTTTATTTTGCAAATGAGAAAACTGAGGCCCAAAGAGAATAGCATATTTTGCTTTTCCATGTGAACCTAAAAGCAATGGCTGGAATTATCTAGATCTAGAAAAATTCCAACAATGAAGACATGTATGCTTGATTTCATGAGTTTAAACCATCTTCTGATTCTTAGCATCATTAATGAATATTTATTGACTGCCTCCCTGAGTCTCTAACTTCTATATACTGCATTTGGCTTGCAAAGTATCCATTTAGCTGAGTTACACTGATTATACTGTTTCCTCATTATTCTTACCAAAGCTATTTAGAGCCCTTCTGATTTCATAAGTTTTCAATGTGTGACTCTGAATGTGCTTAATTTTCTTTTATTGGAGCTTCTAATATTCTTTGCATCTCTTCATTTATCCTTCATTGAGGAACCCAGACAACAAAGGATAGTGCCTGTTAATGATGCCACATGTCCTCGCTAATGGCAGTTAGTATTTTTCTACTCATATCAAGCATCGGATCTCCCTGTGTGAGCACCCACCAGAGAGAAATGTCTGCAAATGTTCATAGAACAACGATCTTTCCCCTGCTCCTGCCTATCTCTATTCTCCTGAGAACCAAGATCTGAAAACACAGCAGTTTTGAAGTTTCACTGAGATGTTCCTCTCAGGGGCACTTGACCTTGTAGAGCATGAAGTGTGGTTTTGCTCTGCAGTGATTCATTCGATCAAACAACAAAGAAAGACTTTTACTCCAGCTATTTGTGAAGAAAAATTAATATATAAAACATGGAGCTGTTTAGAATAGTTCATCTTTTCCGTGTTTGGGGCTTTGCTGCCCCTCTCAATGGCAATTTCAGTTGCACAGAGAAAAAATTTGTTCTTAAGACGTAGTTGAATAAATACATAAATCACATTTTGCATACTCAGAGTTCGAAGAGGTCTTATGTGTCCTTTTGTAGCAGATTAGTTGCTGAAACATCTGGTAACCTATTTATGTCCCATCCACTGAACAAAGAAAATACCAAAACTCCTTAGCTTGGCATTCAAGGTGCCCAACACTCATGCTTCATTCTTCCTTTTCAGCTCTATTGTGCAGAATTTTCCTCTTACAATTTTATGTTTATTATGGATTTTCCCCAGTGTTTTACGCTTCCGTCTTCAGTGTACCATTGCTCTTGCCTATAGTCTCTTCGTCCTTGCCTAATATCCCTTAATCCCCTTAATTTCCTACCTCTTCCTTGAGGAGCATCCCAAATGCCTATTTCCTCATGCAGTTTTTCTTGATCATGTACCTAGCAATTTCTTCAATATTCAACTCAGAAATCTTGTTATTGCTACCTTTATTATGACATTTAGCACAGACTCATTTATATTATAACCATTTATAGTTTTCTTCCTCTTTAAGGTTATTGTACTCATCTCTGCATCTTATTGAAACACAAACAGGTTCTTTTACTCCTCATTAAGGGCATTTAGTAATTGTTTAAGGATGAGAGGATGGTTGGATGAATACATTTTAAAAATTGAAATTTTGCAACATTATATTTTGTAATGACTGAGAAAATCTTGATATAGTCTATATGGTATAGATCATGCTGGAAAGATACAGGAAATTTAATTAATATATATTTTGCAAAATACCTGAACATACTGCTGTCATTTAAAAACATAATGAGATCACCTCTCTCAGAAATGAGCTATGTCCTGAAGCACTTTACAGAATAAAAGAATTTATATGAAACCTGAAACCATTTAACTTAATGCTATAAAATATTATATGTGCTATAAAAACATGCTCAGCCATGCCTAATGAGTGAAAAAAAATCATAGAAATTAAATTTTAATGAATTTCCTCTTTCTCCTTTTCCATATATCATCTCATTTCCTTTTCTTTTATATATTATCCACTTTAAATACACTCAAATTCCTCAAGAAGTTGGCTAATATATAGTGAATAATAATATTTCTTTCACTATTTTGGAATGATAGTCTAAAGAGGGGATGCTTTAAAACTTTCTCTATAGAACAAATGCATCTTAATTAAAGCCAACAAAATATTTCCCAAAATGGCTGGATTTCAAGTAGATGTTGATGTCCACGTCACCACAAAACATTTTTTCCTTGTCCTTGATTGAAACTAAGCCCTTGTCCTCTTTAGCTTAGGATATTCTCAAAATGTCTAGCAATTTTAATTACGATACAGAAGGAATTTTAATTATGATACAACATTTAAGTTCTCCAGTTCTACTGGTCCACAAGGAAGTTTACAATAAGAGTTTCATTGTTGTTTATTTAATAATCAAAAGAAAGTTAAGTGAGAATATAGAGAATAAGAATCATAAAAATCATAGCTATTTCAGATTGAGGAAAATTAGACAACTTCAAAAACAAGAATAGGAGAAGACAAATGCAAGGAACTGTAGCTACAAAATTCTTGCTAAAGAAGCTTCAATTCCAAGTGCAGTTTTATCTGAATGATATACAGGACTGCACGTAGCTGGCTGTTGTCCATTAAAGTAGAGAATACTCCTTGTACTAAATAACTGGGGAAATGGACTGGTTCTTAGATTGCCTGTCAGAACCACAGCCCCTTTCTGCATGAAACTGTTTCACCCATAGCCCTCATTTGTTGTTTGCAAAACTCTATGCAGATCCTATGCCCTTGCCCAATCCCCAAGGAATAATAGGATTTAGGGGGACAATGATACCCCCAAAAGAAAATTTTCAGGCTGGTCAGCAACACTTGAAATGCTAAATCCTGAAAAATAAATCATGGGCTGGGTCGAGTAGATTCTCGGGAATTTAAGCTAAAACAAACTAAAAAAACCAGAAAATTAGGCCATTACCTAAAAGAGGGATGATCAAAAAATACCTTGAAACAGAATTTAATCCATGACAGGTCCTAATATATAAAATTGCGAGTAAGCCAAGCTTATGGAAAAGGAGCATCATTGAGGGAAAAAAAAAAGATCAATTTATAGAACATGTAAAATAACAAAACAAGGCGGGGTGCAGTGGCTCACGCCTATAAGCCCAGCACTTTGGGAGGCTGAGGCAGGCGGATCACTTGGTCAGGAGATTGAGACCGTCTTGGCTAACATGGTGAAACCACGTCTCTACTAAAAAATACAAACAATTAGCTGGGCGTGGTGGCACGCGCCAGTAGTCTCAGCTACTTGGGAGAATCGCTTGAAGCCAGGAGGCGGAAGTTGCAGTGAGCTGAAATCGCGCCGCTGCACTCTAGCCTGGGTGATAGAGCGAGACTCCGTCTCAAAAAAAAAAAAAAAAAAAAAAAAAGCACTGAAAAGTTTCAATGGCCCTGGGGTTTCCAGTGATTCTTCCCTCCTGTTGATCTGTCTCATCAGTTGCATTACATTTTACCCAAAATGAATAATCTCCCTTAAAAATCCTTTGGGAGAATGGCAATATAGACACAAATATTATTATTTTTCTCCTAGCTTTGAACCAGTTCATGGTTTCTTTCATTGAGTACTAGATGAAGTGGCTATCTTGTTTTGTAAGAAATTTCCTGTGAAAAAAAATAACTATGCTTCTTTAAACTCTGTAATCCCCAGGATTTCATGTGAATCCTTCTAGTTTTCTAGTTTTCACTAGAAGAGAGAATGACCAAGGAAATAGCAAATTTCCATTTTCCAGCTTACGGTTGCTCCTGGAATATGCTAATTGAGTGTGGAATAGTCACAAAAATGTCTCATGCATTTCAAGTGTTTCACTTCTCCTCATAGAAAAGCGAATAAAATGGAATTTGCACAAATTAAATGTGCCTGTCTCAGAATGTGCCCCGAATCTTTACACATGTGCATCTTGTTAAATAATCACTGATGCTTTAAATGACATAAGAAAGCATTAGTCTTTTGCAACCCAAAGAATCTAAATGGACTGGAAAAATCTGAAAAGTGTGCTTTATCACTTTGTTTACAGCGAAATTGGAAAGACAATTGGAAAGAACTAAAATTAGCTCTGTTCAAAAATTATCAAAGAGAATTGTAGAGCATGCAGTTCACAAAAATGTTATATGTCAGAGCTGAAAAATCAATGGACTAGCTCATGGTTTTATTAAAAATGACCCATGTTTTTCAAGATGGGCTTTCCCATTATGAACTAATTATCTCACTTTTGTTTGCCTTGTCATTCTCTACTGAATACGCCATGTGCCTTCCCTTCTCCAAACTCTGGACCCACCTTGTCTTCCAAGCATTGCTGCAGCAACCAACTTCATGGAGGTGTAACTACAAAACTTCTTACCTCAGTGGCAGCATTTTCTATGGCTTTCTGCCCCTGTGCCTCTCTGGATGTGCAGTGGTAGTGTTGAACAGTTGCTGGAAACCACCCAGCACTCACACATGTGCAACCTAGAAGTGAGAAGGAGTTAGTATGCCAAAGAGTAACCCTCGATCAGTTTGGTGGCATGAAGGGAGATGTCCATAGATACATTCTTCTTCTGTCCCTCTGTGGGTAATCCTGTGGCACATTCAATTTGCTACTCAGACCACAGGTGATCACTACAAAAACAGACCATAGGGCACATCTATATATAAGCTCTTCTTCTTTCCCTGATTCCCCCTCTTCAGCCCCTTGCTTCTGTTCCCTGAGATCACTTTTCAAAATAAACTACCGTGCATGCAAACCCTTCAGTGAAATTCTGTTATCCAAGACTCAAATTATCCAAGTGGTATTCAAATTATAATGTACCCCAAAGTATGGAAAAGAATTATGAAAGCAACTAATATTTATTGAACATAAGCTATGTACCTGGTGATCAGCATGTGCTACCTTGTTTAATCTTCATCCCAGGCTTTTGTTGGCTATTTTGATCCCCTTGTTCCACATTAGATATCTGAGGTTCTTAAAGGTAATGAAATAGACAAAGGTTACACAGCTAATAAGAAATACAATAGGGATTTCAAATCCCGATTGTCTGATTCCAAACCCACCTTCTTTTCACCATGTCACAGGGCCTCCCTTTTATAGAAAAGAGCCAA